>NC_000016.10:34042411-34289329 GCF_000001405.40 Homo sapiens | reverse complement strand
CCAACATATCCACTTGCAGACTTTAGAAACAGAGTGTTTCCAAACTGCTGAATGAAAAGAAAAGTTAAACTCTGTGAGTTGAACGCACACATCACAGAGCAGTTTCTGAGAATGATTCTGTCGGGTTTTTATACGAAGATATTTCCTTTTCTGCCTTTGGCCTCAAAGCGCTTGAAGTCTCCACTTGCAAATTGCAGAAAAAGAGTGTTTGGAATCTGCTCTGTCTAAAGGAAGGTTCAACCTTGTCAGTTGAATACACACAACACAAGGAAGTTACTGAGATTTCCTCTGTCTAGCCTTACATGAAAAAAACCCATTTCCAACGAAGGCCTCAAAGAGGTCAAAATATCCACGGCAGACTTTACAAACAGAGTGTTTCCAAACTGCTGAATGAAAAGAAAAGTTAAACTCTGTGAGTTGAACGCACACATCACAGAGCAGTTTCTGAGAATGATTCTGTCTAGTTTTTATAGGAAAATATTTCCTTTTCTGCTTTTGGCCTCAAAGCGCTTGAAATCTCCACTTGCAAATTCCACAAAAAGAGACTTTCAAATCTGCTCTGTCTAAAGGAAGGTTCAACTCTGTCAGTTGAATACACACAACACAAAGAAGTTACTAAGAATTCTTCCCTCTAGCATTATATGAAGAAATCCCGTTTCCAACGAAGGCATCTAAGAGGTCCAAATATCCACTTGCAGACTTTACAAACAGAGGGTTTCCAGAGTTCTGTATGAAAAGAAAGGTTAAAGTCTGTGAGTTAAACACACACATCACTACGCAGTTTCTGGGAATGATTTTGTCTTGTTTTTATACGAAGATATTTCCTTTTCGACCATTGGCGTCGAAGCGCTTGAAATCTCCACTTGCAAATTCCACAAAAAGAGTGTTTCAAATCTGCTCTGTCTAAAGGAAGGATGAACTCTGTGAGTTGCATACACACAACACAAAGTAGTTACTGAGAAATCTGTCTAGCATAATATGAAGAAATCCCGTTTCCAACGAAGGCCTCAAAGAGGTCCGAATATCCACTGGCAGACTTCACAGAGTGTTTCCTAACTGCTCTGTGAAAAGAAAGGTTAAACTCTGTGAGTTGAACGCACACATCACAAAGGAGTTTCTGAGAATCATTCTGTCTAGTTTTTATACGAAGATATTTCCTTTTCTACCATTGACCTCAAAGCGGCTGAAATCTCCACTTGCAAATTCCAGAAAAAGAGTGTTTCAAATCTGCTCTGTGTAAAGGATCGTTCAACTCTGTGAGTTGAATACACACAACACAAGGAAGTTACTGAGAATTCTTCTGTCTAGCATAATATGAAGAAATCCCGTTTCCAACGAAGGCCTCAAAGAGGTCTGAATATCCACTTGCAGACTTTACAAACAGAGTGTTTCCTAACTGCTCTTTGAAAAGAAAGGTTAAACTCTGTGAGTTGAACGCACACATCACAAAACAGTTTCTGAGAATCATTCTGTCTAGTTTTTATACGAAGATATTTCCTTTTCTACCGTTGACCTCAAAGCGGCTGAATTCTCCACTTACAAATTCCACCAAAAGAGTGTCTCAAATCTGCTCTGTGTAAAGAATCATTCAACTCTGTGAGTTGAATGCACACAACACAAGGAAGTTACTGGGAATTCCTCTGTCTAACCTTACATGAAAAAAACCCGTTTCCAACGAAGGCCTCTAAGAGGCCAACATATCCACTTGCAGACTTTAGAAACAGAGTGTTTCCAAACTGCTGAATGAAAAGAAAAGTTAAACTCTGTGAGTTGAACGCACACATCACAGAGCAGTTTCTGAGAATGATTCTGTCGGGTTTTTATACGAAGATATTTCCTTTTCTGCCTTTGGCCTCAAAGCGCTTGAAGTCTCCACTTGCAAATTGCAGAAAAAGAGTGTTTGGAATCTGCTCTGTCTAAAGGAAGGTTCAACCTTGTCAGTTGAATACACACAACACAAGGAAGTTACTGAGATTTCCTCTGTCTAGCCTTACATGAAAAAAACCCATTTCCAACGAAGGCCTCAAAGAGGTCAAAATATCCACGGCAGACTTTACAAACAGATTGTTTCCAAACTGTTGAATGAAAAGAAAAGTTAAACTCTGTGAGTTGAACGCACACATCACAGAGCAGTTTCTGAGAATGATTCTGTCTAGTTTTTATAGGAAAATATTTCCTTTTCTGTTTTGGCCTCAAGCGCTTGGAATCTCCCCTTGCAAATTCCACAAAAAGAGACTTTCAAATCTGCTCTTTCTAAAGGAAGGTTCAACTCTGTCAGTTGAATACACACAACACAAAGAAGTTACTAAGAATTCTTCCCTCTAGCATTATATGAAGAAATCCCGTTTCCAACGAAGGCATCTAAGAGGTCCAAATATCCACTTGCAGACTTTACAAACAGAGGGTTTCCAGAATGCTGTATGAAAAGAAAGGTTAAAGTCTGTGAGTTAAACACACACATCACTACGTAGTTTCTGGGAATGATTTTGTCTTGTTTTTATAAGAAGATATTTCCTTTTCGACCATTGGCGTCGAAGCGCTTGAAATCTCCACTTGCAAATTCCACAAAAAGAGTGTTTCAAATCTGCTCTGTCTAAAGGAAGGATGAACTCTGTGAGTTGCATACACACAACACAAAGTAGTTACTGAGAAATCTGTCTAGCATAATATGAAGAAATCCCGTTTCCAAAGAAGTCCTCAAAGAGGTCCGAATATCCACTGGCAGACTTCACAGAGTGTTTCCTAACTGCTCTGTGAAAAGAAAGGTTAAACTCTGTGAGTTGAACGCACACATCACAAAGGAGTTTCTGAGAATCATTCTGTCTAGTTTTTATACGAAGATATTTCCTTTTCTACCATTGACCTCAAAGCGGCTGAAATCTCCACTTGCAAATTCCAGAAAAAGAGTGTTTCAAATCTGCTCTGTGTAAAGGATCGTTCAACTCTGTGAGTTGAATACACACAACACAAGGAAGTTACTGAGAATTCTTCTGTCTAGCATAATATGAAGAAATCCCGTTTCCAACAAAGGCCTCAAAGAGGTCTGAATATCCACTTGCAGACTTTACAAACAGAGTGTTTCCTAACTGCTCTTTGAAAAGAAAGGTTAAACTCTGTGAGTTGAACGCACACATCACAAAACAGTTTCTGAGAATCATTCTGTCTAGTTTTTATACGAAGATATTTCCTTTTCTACCATTGACCTCAAAGCGGCTGAATTCTCCACTTACAAATTCCACCAAAAGAGTGTCTCAAATCTGCTCTGTGTAAAGAATCATTCAACTCTGTGAGTTGAATGCACACAACAGAAGGAAGTTACTGGGAATTCCTCTGTCTAACCTTACATGAAAAAAACCCGTTTCCAACGAAGGCCTCTAAGAGGCCAATATATCCACTTGCAGACTTTACAAACAGAGTGTTTCCAAACTTCAGAATGAAAAGAAATGTAAACTCTGTGAGTTGAACGCACACATCACAGAGCAGTTTCTGAGAATGATTCTGTTCGTGTTTTTATACGAAGATATTTCCTTTTCTGCCTTTGGCCTCAAAGCGCTTGAAGTCTCCACTTGCAAATTGCAGAAAAAGATGTTTGGAATCTGCTCTGTCTAAAGGAAGGTTCAACCCTGTCAGTTGAATACACACAACACAAGGAAGTTACTGAGATTTCCTCTGTCTAGCCTTACATGAAAAAAACCAGTTTCCAACGAAGGCGTCAAAGAAGTCAAAATATCCACGTGCAGACTTTCCAAACAGAGTGTTTCCAAACTGCTGAATGAAAAGAAAAGTTAAACTCTGTGAGTTGAACGCACACATCACAGAGCAGTTTCTGAGAATGATTCTGTCTAGTTTTTATAGGAAAATATTTCCTTTTCTGCTTTTGGCCTCAAAGTGCTTGAAATCTCCACTTGCAAATTCCACAAAAAGAGACTTTCAAATCTGCTCTGTCTAAAGGAAGGTTCAATTCTGTCAGTTGAATACACACAACACAAAGAAGTTACTAAGAATTCTTCCTCTAGCATTATATGAAGAAATCCCGTTTCCAACGAAGGCATCTAAGAGATCCAAATATCCACTTGCAGACTTTACAAACAGAGGGTTTCCAGAATGCTGTATGAAAAGAAAGGTTAAACTCTGTGAGTTAAACACACACATCACTACGCAGTTTCTGGGAATGATTTTGTCTTGTTTTTATACGAAGATATTTCCTTTTCGACCATTGGCGTCGAAGCGCTTGAAATCTCCACTTGCAAATTCCACATAAAGAGTGTTTCAAATCTGCTCTGTCTAAAGGAAGGATGAACTCTGTGAGTTGCATACACACAACACAAAGTAGTTACTGAGAAATCTGTCTAGCATAATATGAAGAAATCCCGTTTCCAACGAAGGCCTCAAAGAGGTCTGAATATCCACTTGCAGACTTTACAAACAGAGTGTTTCCTAGCTGCTCTTTGAAAAGAAAGGTTAAACTCTGTGAGTTGAACGCACACATCACAAAACAGTTTCTGAGAATCATTCTGTCTAGGTTTTATACGAAGATATTTCCTTTTCTACCATTGACCTCAAAGCGGCTGAATTCTCCATCTACAAATTCCACCAAAAGAGTGTCTCAAATCTGCTCTGTGTAAAGAATCATTCAACTCTGTGAGTTGAATGCACACAACACAAGGAAGTTACTGGGAATTCCTCTGTCTAACCTTACATGAAAAAAACCTGTTTCCAACGAAGGCCTCTAAGAGGCCAATATATCCACTTGCAGACTTTACAAACAGAGTGTTTCCAAACTGCTGAATGAAAAGAAAAGTTAAACTCTGTGAGTTGAACGCACACATCACAGAGCAGTTTCTGAGAATGATTCTGTCGGGTTTTTATACGAAGATATTTCCTTTTCTGCCTTTGGCCTCAAAGCGCTTGAAGTCTCCACTTGCAAATTGCAGAAAAAGAGTGTTTGGAATCTGCTCTGTCTAAAGGAAGGTTCAACCCTGTCAGTTGAATACACACAACACAAGGAAGTTACTGAGATTTCCTCTGTCTGGCCTTACATGAAAAAAACCCGTTTCCAACCAAGGCCTCAAAGAGGTCAAAATATCCACGGCAGACTTTACAAACAGAGTGTTTCCAAACTGCTGAATGAAAAGAAAACTTAAACTCTGTGAGTTGAACGCACACATCACAGAGCAGTTTCTGAGAATGATTCTGTCTAGTTTTTATAGGAAAATATTTCCTTTTCTGCTTTTGGCCTCAAAGTGCTTGAAATCTCCACTTGCAAATTCCACAAAAAGAGACTTTCAAATCTGCTCTGTCTAAAGGAAGGTTCAACTCTGTCAGTTGAATACACACAACACAAAGAAGTTACTGAGAATTCTTCCCTCTACCATTATATGACGAAATCCCATTTCCAACGAAGGCATCTAAGAGGTCCAAATATACACTTGCAGACTTTACAAACAGAGGGTTTCCAGAGTTCTGTATGAAAAGAAAGGTTAAAGTCTGTGAGTTAAACACACACATCACTACGCAGTTTCTGGGAATGATTTTGTCTTGTTTTTATACGAAGATATTTCCTTTTCGACCATTGGCGTCGAAGCGCTTGAAATCTCCACTTCCAAATTCCACAAAAAGAGTGTTTCAAATCTGCTCTCTCTAAAGGAAGGTTGAACTCTGTGAGTTGCATATACACAACACAAAGTAGTTACTGAGAAATCTGTCTAGCATAATATGAAGAAATCCCGTTTCCAACGAAGGCCTCAAAGAGGTCCGAATATCCACTGGCAGACTTCACAAACAGAGTGTTTCCTAACTGCTCTGTGAAAAGAAAGTTTAAACTCTGTGAGTTGAACGCACACATCACAAAGGAGTTTCTGAGAATCATTCTGTCTAGTTTTTATATGAAGATATTTCCTTTTCTACCATTGACCTCAAAGCGGCTGAAATCTCCACTTGCAAATTCCAGAAAAAGAGTGTTTCAAATCTGCTCTGTGTAAAGGATCGTTCAACTCTGTGAGTTGAATACACACAACACAAGGAAGTTACTGAGAATTGTTCTGTCTAGCATAATATGAAGAAATCCCGTTTCCAACGAAGGCCTCAAAGAGGTCTGAATATCCACTTGCAGACTTTACAAACAGAGTGTTTCCTAACTGGTCTTTGAAAAGAAGGGTTAAATTCTGTGAGTTGAACGCACACATCACAAAACAGTTTCTGAGAATCATTCTGTCTAGTTTTTATACGAAGATATTTCCTTTTCTACCATTGACCTCAAAGCGGCTGAATTCTCCACTTACAAATTCCACCAAAAGAGTGTCTCAAATCTGCTCTGTGTAAAGAATCATTCAACTCTGTGAGTTGAATGCACACAACACAAGGAAGTTACTGGGAATTCCTCTGTCTAACCTTACATGAAAAAAACCCGTTTCCAACGAAGGCCTCTAAGAAGCCAATATATCCACTTGCAGACTTTACAAACAGAGTGTTTCCAAACTGCTGAATGAAAAGAAAAGTTAAACTTTGTGAGTTGAACGCACACATCACAGAGCAGTTTCTGAGAATGATTCTGTCGGGTTTTTATACGAAGATATTTCCTTTTCTGCCTTTGGCCTCAAAGCGCTTGAAGTCTCCACTTGCAAATTGCAGAAAAAGAGTGTTTGGAATCTGCTCTGTCTAAAGGAAGGTTCAACCCTGTCAGTTGAATACACACAACACAAGGAAGTTACAGAGATTTCCTCTGTCTAGCCTTACATGAAAAAAACCCGTTTCCAACGAAGGCCTCAAAGAGGTCAAATTATCCATGGCAGACTTTACAAACAGAGTGTTTCCAAACTGCTGAATGAAAAGAAAAGTTAAACTCTGTGAGTTGAACGCACACATCACAGAGCAGTTTCTGAGAATGATTCTGTCTAGTTTTTATAGGAAAATATTTCCTTTTCTGCATTTGGCCTCAAAGCGCTTGAAATCTCCACTTGCAAATTCCACAAAAAGAGACTTTCAAATCTGGTCTGTCTAAAGGAAGGTTCAACTCTGTCAGTTGAATACACACAACACAAAGAAGTTACTAAGAATTCTTCCCTCTAGCATTATATGAAGAAATCCCGTTTCCAACGAAGGCATCTAAGAGGTCCAAATATCCACTTGCAGACTTTACAAACAGAGGGTTTCCAGAGTTCTGTATGAAAAGAAGGGTTAAAGTCTGTGAGTTAAACACACACATCACTACGCAGTTTCTGGGAACGAGTTTGTCTTGTTTTTATACGAAGATATTTCCTTTTCTACCATTGGCATCAAAGCGCTTGAAATCTCCACTTGCAAATTCCACAAAAAGAGTGTTTCAAATCTGCTCTCTCTAAAGGAAAGTTGAACTCTGTGAGTTGCATACACACAACACAAAGTAGTTACTGAGAAATCTGTGTAGCATAATATGAAGAAATCCCGTTTCCAACGAAGGCCACAAAGAGGTCCGAATATCCACTGGCAGACTTCACAAACAGAGTGTTTCCTAACTGCTCTGTGAAAAGAAAGGTTAGACTCTGTGAGTTGAACGCACACATCACAAAGGAGTTTCTGAGAATCATTCTGTCTAGTTTTTATACGAAGATATTTCCTTTTCTACCATTGACCTCAAAGCGGCTGAAATCTCCACTTGCAAATTCCAGAAGAAGAGTGTTTCAAATCTGCTCTGTGTAAAGGATCGTTCAACTCTGTGAGTTGAATACACACAACACAAGGAAGTTACTGAGAATTCTTCTGTCTAGCATAATATGAAGAAATCCCGTTTCCAACGAAGGCCTCAAAGAGGTCTGAATATCCACTTGCAGACTTTACAAACAGAGTGTTTCCTAACTGCTGAATGAAAAGAAATGTTAAACTCTGTGAGTTGAACGCACACATCACAGAGCAGTTTCTGAGAATGATTCTGTCTAGTTTTTATAGGAAAATATTTCCTTTTCTGCTTTTGGCCTCAAAGCGCTTGAAATCTCCACTTGCAAATTCCACAAAAAGAGACTTTCAAATCTGCTGTGTCTAACGGAAGGTTCAACTCTGTCAGTTGAATACACACAACACAAAGAAGTTACTAAGAATTCTTCCCTCTAGCATTATGGGAAGAAATCCCGTTTCCAACGAAGGCATCTAAGAGGTCCAAATATCCACTTGCAGACTTTACAAACAGAGGGTTTCCAGAATGGTGTATGAATAGAAAGGTAAAACTCTGTGAGTTAAACACACACAGCACTACGCAGTTTCTGGGAATGATTTTGTCTTGTTTTTATACGAAGATATTTCCTTTTCGACCATTGGCGTCGAAGCGCTTGAAATCTCCACTTGCAAATTCCACAAAAAGAGTGTTTCAAATCTGCTCTGTCTAAAGGAAGGTTGAACTCTGTGAGTTGCATACACACAACACAAAGTAGTTACTGAGAAATCTGTCTAGCATAATATGAAGAAATCCCGTTTCCAACGAAGGCCTCAAAGAGGTCCGAATATCCACTGGCAGACTTCACAAACAGAGTGTTTCCTAACTGCTCTGTGAAAAGAAAGGTTAAACTCTGTGAGTTGAACGCACACATCACAAAGGAGTTTCTGAGAATCATTCTGTCTAGTTTTTATACGAAGATATTTCCTTTTCTACCATTGACCTCAAAGCGGCTGAAATCTCCACTTGCAAATTCCAGAAAAAGAGTGTTTCAAATCGGCTCTGTGTAAAGGATCGTTCAACTCTGTGAGTTGAATACACACAACACAAGGAAGTTACTGAGAATTCTTCTGTCTAGCATAATATGAAGAAATCCCGTTTCCAACGAAGGCCTCAAAGAGGTCTGAATATCCACTGGCAGACTTTACAAACAGAGTGTTTCCTAACTGCTCTTTGAAAAGAAAGGTTAAACTCTGTGAGTTGAACGCACACATCACAAAACAGTTTCTGAGAATCATTCTGTCTAGTTTTTATACGAAGATATTTCCTTTTCTACCATTGACCTCAAAGCGGCTGAATTCTCCACATACAAATTCCACTAAAAGAGTGTCTCAAATCTGCTCTGTGTAAAGAATCATTCAACTCTGTGAGTTGAATGCACACAACACAAGGAAGTTACTGGGAATTCCTCTGAATAACCTTACATGATAAAAACCCGTTTCCAACGAAGGCCTCTAAGATGCCAATATATCCACTTGCAGACTTTATAAACAGAGTGTTTCCAAACTGCTGAATGAAAAGAAAAGTTAAACTCTGTGAGTTGAACGCACACATCACAGAGCAGTTTCTGAGAATGATTCTGTCGGGTTTTTATACGAAGATATTTCCTTTTCTGCCTTTGGCCTCAAAGCGCTTGAAGTCTCCACTTGCAAATTGCAGAAAAAGAGTGCTTCGAATCTGCTCTGTCTAAAGGAAGGTTCAACTCTGTCAGTTGAATACACACAACAGAAGGAAGTTACAGAGATTTCCTCTGTCTAGCCTTACATGAAAAAAACCCGTTTCCAACGAAGGCCTCAAAGAGGTCAAAATATCCACGGCAGACTTTTCAAACAGAGTGTTTCCAAACTGCTGAATGAAAAGAAAAGTTAAACTCTGTGAGTTGAACGCACACATCACAGAGCAGTTTCTGAGAATGATTCTGTCTAGTTTTTATAGGAGAATATTTCCTTTTCTGCTTTTGGCCTCAAAGCGCTTGAAATCTCCACTTGCAAATTCCACAAAAAGAGACTTTCAAATCTGCTCTGTCTAAAGGAAGGTTCAACTCTGTCAGTTGAATATACACAACACAAAGAAGTTACTAAGAATTCTTCCCTCTAGCATTATATGAAGAAATCCCGTTTCCAACGAAGGCATCTAAGACGTCCAAATATCCACTTGCAGACTTTACAAACAGAGGGTTTCCAGAATGCTGTATGAAAAGAAAGGTTAAACTCTGTGAGTTAAACACACACAGCACTACGCAGTTTCTGGGAATGATTTTGTCTTGTTTTTATACGAAGATATTTCCTTTTCGACCATTGGCGTCGAAGCGCTTGAAATCTCCACTTGCAAATTCCACAAAAAGAGTGTTTCAAATCTGCTCTGTCTAAAGGAAGGATGAACTCTGTGAGTTGCATACACACAACACAAAGTAGTTACTGAGAAATCTGTCTAGCATAATATGAAGAAATCCCGTTTCCAACGAAGGCCTCAAAGAGGTACTAATATCCACTGGCAGACTTCACAGAGTGTTTCCTAACTGGTCTGTGAAAAGAAAGGTTAAACTCTGTGAGTTGAACGCACACATCACAAAGGAGTTTCTGAGAATCATTCTGTCTAGTTTTTATACGAAGATATTTCCTTTTCTACCATTGACCTCAAAGCGGCTGAAATCTCCACTTGCAAATTCCAGAAAAAGAGTGTTTCAAATCTGCTCTGTGTAAAGGATCGTTCAACTCTGTGAGTTGAATACACACAACACAAGGAAGTTACTGAGAATTCTTCTGTCTAGCATAATATGAAGAAATCCCGTTTCCAACGAAGGCCTCAAAGAGGTCTGAATATCCACTTGCAGACTTTACAAACAGAGTGTTTCCTAACTGCTCTTTGAAAAGAAAGGTTAAACTCTGTGAGTTGAACGCACACATCACAAAACAGTTTCTGAGAATCATTCTGTCTTGTTTTTATACGAAGATATTTCCTTGCCTACCATTGACCTCAAAGCGGCGGAATTCTCCACTTACAAATTCCACCAAAAGAGTGTCTCAAATCTGCTCTGTGTAAAGAATCATTCAACTCTGTGAGTTGAATGCACACAACACAAGGAAGTTACTGGGAATTCCTCTGTCTAACCTTATATGAAAAAAACCCGTTTCCAACGAAGGCCTCTAAGAGGCCAAGATATCCACTTGCAGACTTTACAAACAGAGCGCTTACAAACGGCTCTATGAAAAGAAAGGTTAAACTCTGTGAGTTGAACGCACACATCACAACGCAGTTTGTGGGAATGATACTGTCTAGTTTTGAAACGAAGATATTTCTTTTTCTGCCATTGACCTTTAAGCTCTTGAAGTCTCCACTTGCAAATTGCACAAAAAGAGTGTTTCAAATCTGCTCTGTCTAAAGGAATGTTCAACTCTGTGAGTTGAATGCACACAACACAAGGAAGTTACTGGGAATTCCTCTGTCTAGCCTTACATGAAAAAAACCCGTTTGCAACGAAGGCCTCAAAGAGGTCAATATATCCATTTGCAGATTTTACAAAAAGAGTGTTTCCAAACTGGTGAATGAAAAGAAAAGTTAAACTCTGTGAGTTGAACGCACACATCAGAGAGCAGTTTCTGAGAATGATTCTGTCGGGTTTTTATATGAAGATATTTCCTTTTCTGCCTTTGGCCTCAAAGCGCTTGAAGTCTCCACTTGAAATTTCACAAAAACGGTGTTACAAATCTGCTCTGTCTAAAGGAAGGTTCAAATCTGTCAGTTGAATACACACAACACAAAGAACTTATTAAGAATTCTTCCCTCTAGCATTATATGAAGAAATCCCGTTTCCAACGAAGGCATCTAAGAGGTCCAGATATCCACTTGCAGACTTTACAAACAGAGTGTTTCCAGAATGCTGTATAAAAAGAAAGGTTAAAGTCTGTGTGTTGTACGCACACATCACAAAGGAGTTGCTGAGAATCATTCTGTCTAGTTTGTATACGAAGATATTTCCTTTTCTACCATTGACCTCAAGTTGGCTGAAATCTCCACTTGCAAATCCCACAAAAAGAGTGTTTCAGATCTGCTCTGTGTAGAAGATGGTTCAACTCTGTGAGTTAAATACACACAACACAAGGTAGTTACTGAGAATTCTTCTGTCTAGCATAAAATGAAGAAATCCCGTTTCCAACGAAGGCCTCAAAGAGGTCTGTATATCCACTTGCAGACTTTACAAACAGAGTGTTTGCTAACTGTTCTATGAAAAGAAAGGTTAAAGTCTGTGAGTTGAAAGGGCACATCACAAAGCAGTTTCTGAGAATCATTCTGTGTAGTTTTTATACGAAGATATTTCCTTTTCTACCATTGACCTCAAAGCGGCTGAAATCTCCACTTACATATTCCACAAAAAGAGTGTCTCAAATCTGCTCTGTGTAAAGGATCGTTCAAGTCTGTGAGTTGAATACACACAACACAAGGAAGTTACTGAGAATTCTTCTGTCTAGTATTATAGGAAGAAATCCCGTTTCCAAAGAAGTCCTCAAAGAGGTCAGAATATCCACTTGCAGACTTGACAAACAGAGCGTTTACAAACGGCTCTATGAAAAGAAAGGTTAAACTCTGTGAGTTGAACGCACACATCACAACGCAGTTTGTGGGAATGATACTGTCTAATTTTGAAACGAAGATACTTCTTTTTCTGCCATTGACCTTAAAGCGCTTGAAGTCTCCACTTGCAAATTGCAGAAAAAGAGTGTTTCAAATCTGCTCTGTCTAAAGGAACGTTCAACTCCGTGAGTTGAATGGACACAACAGAAGGAAGTTACTGGGAATTCCTCTGTCTAGCCTTACATGAAAAAAACCCGATTGCAACGAAGGCCTCAAAGAGGTCAATATATCCACGTGCAGACTTTACAAAAAGAGTGTTTCCAAACTGCTGAATGAAAAGAAAAGTTAAACTCTGTGAGTTGAACGCACACATCACAGAGCAGTTTCTGAGAATGATTCTGTCTGGTTTTTATACGAAGATATTTCCTTTTCTGCCTTTGGCCTCAAAGCACTTGAAGTCTCCACTTGAAATTCCACAAAAAGGGTGTTTCAAATCTGCTCTGTCTAAAGGAAGGTTCAAATCTGTCAGTTGAATACACACAACACAAAGAACTTATTAAGAATTCTTCCCTCTAGCATTATATGAAGAAATCCCGTTTCCAACGAAGGCATCAAAGAGGTCCAAATATGCACTTGTAGACTTTACAAACAGAGTGTTTCCAGAATGCTGTATGAAAAGAAAGGTTAAACTCTGTGAGTTAAACACACACATCACTACGCAGTTTCTGGGAATGATTTTGTCTTGTTTTTATAGGAAGATATTTCCTTTTCTACCATTGACCTCAAAGCGGCTGAATTCTCCACTTACAGATTCCACCAAAAGAGTGTCTCAAATCTGCTCTGTGTAAAGAATCATTCAACTCTGTGAGTTGAATGCACACAACACAAGGAAGTTACTGGGAATTCCTCTGTCTAGCCTTACATGAAAAAACCCTTTTCCAACGAAGGCCTCAAAGAGGTCAATATATCCACTTGTAGACTTTACAAACAGAGTGTTTGCAAAGTGCTGAATGAAAAGAAAAGTTAAACTCTGTGAGTTGAACGCACACATCACAGAGCAGTTTCTGAGAATGATTCTGTCGGGTTTTTATACGAAGATATTTCCTTTTCTGCCTTTGGCCTCAAAGCGCTTGAAGTTTCCACTTGCAAATTGCACAAAAAGAGTGTTTCGAATCTGCTCTGTCTAAAGGAAGGTTCAACTCTCTCAGTTCAATACCCACAACACAAGGAAGTTACTGAGATTTCTTCTTCTAGCCTTACATGAAAAAAACCCGTTTTCAACGAAGGCCTCAAAGAGGTCAAAATATCCAGTTGCAGACTTTACAAACAGAGTGTTTCCAAACTGCTGAATGAAAAGTTAAACTCTGTGAGTTGAACGCACACATCACAGAGCAGTTTTGAGAATGATTCTATCTAGTTTTTATAGGAAAATATTTCCTTTTCTGCTTTTGGCCTCAAAGCGACTGAAATCTCCACTTGCAAATTCCACAAAAAGAGTGTTTCAAATCTGCTCTGTGTAAAGGAAGGTTCAACTCTGTCAGTTGAATACACACAACACAAAGATGTTACTAAGAATTCTTCCCTCTTGCAGTATATGGAGAAATCCCGTTTCCAACGAAGGCATCTAAGAGGTCCAGATATCCACTTGCAGACTTTAGAAACAGGGTGTTTCCAGAATGCTGTATGAAAAGAAAGGTTAAACTCAGTGAGTTGAACGCACACATCACAAAGGAGTTTCTGAGAATCATTCTGTCTAGTTTTTATACGAAGATATTTCCTTTTCTACCATTGACCTCAAGGTGGCTGAAATCTCCACTTGCAAATTCCACAAAAAGAGTGTTTCAGATCTGCTCTGTGTAAAAGATGGTTCAACTCTGTGAGTTGAATACACACAACAGAAGGAAGTTACTGAGAATTCTTCTGTCTAGTATTATAGGACGAAATCCTGTTTCCAACGAAGTCCTCAAAGTGGTCAGAATATCCACCTGCAGACTTGACAAACAGAGTGCTTACAAACGGCTCTATGAAAAGAAAGGTTAAACTCTGTGAGTTGAATGCACACATCATAACGCAGTTTGTGGGAATGATACTGTCTAGTTTTGAAACGAAGGTATTTTCTTTTCTGCCATTGACCTTAAAGCGCTTGAAATCTCCACTTGCAAATTGCACAAAAAGAGTGTTTCAAATCTGCTCTGTCTAAAGGAACGTCCAACTCTGTGAGTTGAATGCACACAACACAAAGAAGTTACTGGGAATTCTTCTGTCTAGCCTTACATGAAAAAAACCCGTTTCCAAGGAAGGCCTCAAAGAGGTCAATATATCCACTTGCAGACTTTAGAAACAGAGCGTTTCCAAACTGCTGAATGAAAAGAAAAGTTAAACTCTGTGACTTGAACGCACACATCACAGAGCAGTTTCTGAGAATGATTATGTCTGGTTTTTATACGAGGATAATGCCTTTTCTGCCTTTGGCCTGAAAGGGCTTGAAGTCTCCACTTGGAAATTCCAGAAAAAGAGTGTTTCGAATCTGCTCTGTCTAAAGGAAGGTTCAACTGCATCAGTTGAATACACATAACACAAAGAGGTTACTAAGAATTCTTCCCTCTAGAATTATATGAAGAAATCCCGTTTCCAACGAAGGCATCTAAGAGCTCCAAATATCCACTTGTAGACATTACAAACAGAGTGTTTCCAGAATGCTGTATGAAAAGAAAGGTTAAAATCTGTGAGTTAAACACACACATCACTACGCAGTTTCTGGGAATGATTTTGTCTTGTTTTTATACGAAGATATTTCCTTTTCTACCATTGGCATCGAAGCGCTTGAAATCTCCACTTGCAAATTCCACAAAAAGAGTGTTTCAAATCTGCTCTGTCTAAAGGAAGGTTGAACTCTGTGAGTGGCATACACACAACACAAAGTAGTTACTGAGAAATCTTCTGTCTAGCATAATATGAAGAAATCCCGTTTCTAACGAAGGCCTCAAAGAGGTCCGAATATCCACTGGCAGACTTCACAAACAGAGTGTTTCCTAACTGCTCTATGAAAAGAAAGGTTAAACTCTGTGAGTTGAACGCACACATCACAAAGGAGTTTCTGAGAATCATTCTGTCTAGTTTTTATACGAAGATATTTCCTTTTCTACCATTGACCTCAAAGCGGCTGAAATCTCCACTTGCAAATTCCAGAAAAAGAGTGTTTCAAATCTGCTCTGTGTAAAGGATCGTTCAACTCTGTGACTTGAATACACACAACACAAGGAAGTTACTGAGAATTCTTCTGTCTAGCATAATATGAAGAAATCCCGTTTCCAACGAAGGCATCTAAGAGGTCTAAATATGCACTTGCAGACTTTACAAACAGAGTGTTTCCAGAATGTTTTATGAAAAGAAAGGTTAAACTCTGTGAGTTAAACACACACATCACTACACAGTTTCTGGGAATGATTTTGTCTTGTTTTTATAGGAAGATATTTCCTTTCCTACCATTGGCATTGAAGCGCTTGAAATCTCCACTTGCAAATTCCACAAAAAGAGTGTTTCAAATCTACTCTGTCTAAAGGAGGGTTGAACTCCGTTAGTTGGATACACACAACACAAAGTAGTTACTGAGAAATCTGTCTAGCATAATATGAAGAAATCCCGTTTCCAAGGAAGGCCTCAAAGAGGTCCAAATATCCACTGGCAGACTTCACAAACAGAGTGTTTCCTAACTGCTCTATGAAAAGAAAGGTTAAACTCTGTGAGTTGAACGCACACATCACAAAGGAGTTTCTGAGAATCATTCTGTCTAGTTTTTATACGAAGATATTTACTTTTCTACCATTGACCTCAAAGCGGCTGAAATCTCCACTTGCAAATTCCAGAAAAAGAGTGTTTCAAATCTGCTCTGTGTAAAGAATCATTCAACTCTGTGAGTTGAATGCACACAACACAAGGAAGTTACTGGGAATTCCTCTGTCTAGCCTTACATGAAAAAAACCCGTTTCCAACGAAGGTCTCAAAGAGGTCAATATATCCACTTGCAGACTTTACAAACAGAGTGTTTCCAAACTGCTCTATGAAAAGAAAAGTTAAACTCTGTGATTTGAACGCACACATCACAGAGAAGTTTCTGAGAATCATTCTGTGTAGTTTTTATACGAAGATATTTCCTTTTCTACCATTGACCTCAAAGTGGCTGAAATCTCCAGTTACGAATTCCACAAAGAGAGTGTCTCAAATCTTCTCTGTGTAAAGGATCGTTCAACTCTGTGAGTTGAATACACACAACACAAGGAAGTTACTGAGAATTCTTCTGTCTAGTATTATAGGAAGAAATCACGTTTCCAACGAGGTCCACAAAGAGGTCAGAATATCCACTTGCAGCCTTGACAAACAGAGCGCTTACAAACGGCTCTATGAAAAGAAAGGTTAAACTCTGTGAGTTGAACGCACACATCACAACGCAGTTTGTGGGAATGATTCTGTCTAGTTTTGAAGCAAAGACATTTCCTTTTCTGCCATTTGCCTTAAAGCGCTTGAAATCTCCACTTGCAAATTGCACAAAAAGAGTGTTTCAAATCTGCTCTGTCTAAAGGAAGGTTCAACTCTTTCTGTTGAATACACACAACTCAAAGAATTTACTAAGAATTCTTCTCTCTAGCATTATATTAAGAAATCTCCTTTCCAACGAAGGCATCTAATAGGTCCAAATATCCAATTGCAGACTTTAGAAACTGAGTGTTTCCAGAATGCTGTATGAAAAGAAAGGTTAATCTCTGTGAGTTAAACCCACACATCACTACGCAGTTACTGGGAATGATTTTGTCTTGCTATTATACGAAGATATTTCCTTTTCTACCTTTGGCATCCAAGTTTCTGAGAATGCTTCTGTCTAGTTTTTATGGGAAGAGATTTCCTATCCACAATAGGCCTCAAAGCGCTCCAAATGTCCACTTCCAGATACTACAAAAAGCGTGTTTCAAACCTGCTCTATAAAAGGGAATGTTCAACTCTGAGACTTGAATGGAAACATCACAAAGACGTTTCTCAGAAGGCTTACGTCTACTTTTTATATCAAGAGAATTCGGTTTCCAAAGAAATCCTCAAAGCTGTCCAAATATCCACTTGCAGATTTTACAAAAAGAGTGTCTGAAAACTGCTCTATCAAAACAAAGTTTCAACACTGTTAGTTGAGTACAGACATCCCAAACAAGTTTCTGAGAATCCTTCTGTCTAGATTTTATGGGAAGATATTTCCTTTTTCACCATAGGCCTCAAAGCGCTCCAAATGTCCACTTCCAGATACTATAAAAAGACTGTTTCAAACCTGCTCTGTGAAAGGGAATGTTTAACCCTGTGACTTGAATGCAAACGTCATAAAGAAGTTTCTGAGGATGCTTCTTCTTTCTATATAGAGATATTCCCGTTTCCAACGAAATCCTCAAAGCAATCCAAGTATCCACTTGCAGATTCCACAAAAAGCGTGTTTCGAATCTGCTGTATCAAAAGAAAGGTTCAACTCTATTAGTTGAGTACACTCATGAGGAACAAGTTTCTGAGAATGCTTCTGTCTAGTTTTTATGGGAAGAAGTCTTATTTATCACCATAGGCCACAAGCCCTCCAAATGCCCACTTTCAGATACCACCAAAAGATTGTTTAAAACCTGCTCTATGAAAGGGATTGTTAAACCCTGTGACTTGAATGCAAACATCACAAATCAGTTTCTGAGAATACTTCTGTCGAGATTTTATATGAAGCTATTCCCGTTTCCAACGAAATCCTCATCGCTATCCAAATACCCACTTGCAGATTCTTCTAAAAGAGAGTTTGAAAACTGCTTCATTAAAAGAAAGCTTCAACACTGTTAGTTGATTACACACATGACAAACAAGTTTCTGAGAATGTTTCTCTCTAGTTTTTATGGGAAGATATTTCCTTTTTCACCGTAGGCCTCAAAGCGCTCCAAATGTCCATTTCCAGATACAACAAAAAGAGTGTTTCAAACCTGCTCCACGGAAGGGAATGTTCAACTCTGGGACTTGAATGCGTACATCACAAAAGAAGTTTCTGAAAATGCTTCTGTCTGCTTTTTATATAAAGATATTCCCGTTTCCTCCGAAATCCTCAAAGCTATCCAAATATCCACTTGCAGATCCTACAAAAAGAGTGTTTCAAAACTGCTCTCTCAAAAGAAAGGGCGAACTCTGTTAGTTGAGTACACACATCACAAACAAGTTTCTGAGAATGCTTCTGTCTACTTTTTATGGGAAGAGATTTCCTTTTTCACCATAGGCCTCAAAGCCTTCGGAATGTCCACTTCCAGATACTAGAAAAAGACTGTTTCAAACCTGCTCTGTAAAAGGGAATGCTCAACTCTGTGAGTTGAAAGCAAACATCACAAAGAAGTTTCTGAGAATGCTTCTTCTTTTCATATCGAGATAATCCCGTTTCCAACGAAATCCTCAAAGCAATCCAAATATCCACTTGCAGATTCTATAACAAGAGTGTTTCAAAACTGCTCTATCAAAAGAAAGGTTCAACTCTGTTAGTTGAGTACACACATCAAAAACAGGTTTCTGATAATGCTTCTGTCTAGTTTTTATGGGAAGAGATTTCCTTTTTCACCATAGGCCACAAAGCACTACAAATGTCCCTTTCCAGATTCTACAAAAAGAGTGTTTCATACCTGCTCTATGAAAGGGAATGTTCAACTCTGTGACTTGAATGCAATCATCATAAAGAAGTTTCTGAGAATGCATCTGTCTAGATTATATATGAGGATATTCCCGTTTCCAACGAAATCCTCTAAGCTATGCAAATATCCACTTGCAGATTCTAGAAACAGAGTGTTTCCGATCTGCTCTATCAAGAGAAAGGTTCAACTCTGTTAGTTGAGTAGACACATGACAAGCAAGTTTCTGAGAATGCTTCTGTCTTGTTTTTATGGGAAGAGATTTCCTTTTTCACCATAGGCCTCAAAGCGCTCCAAATGTCCACTTCCAGATTCTACAGAAAGAGTGTTTCATACCTGCTCTATGAAAGGGAAAGTTCAACTCCGTGACTTGAATGCAATCATGATAAAGAAGTTTCTGAGAATGCATCTGTCTAGATTTTATATGATGATATTCCCGTTTCCAACGAAATTCTCAAAGCTATACAAATATCCACTTGCAGATTCTACAAACAGTGTGTTTCTGGTCTGCTCTATCAAGAGAAAGGTTCAACTCTGTTAGTTGAGTAGACACATGACAAACAAGTTTTTGAGAATGCTTCTGTCTAGTTTTTATGGGAAGAGATTTCCTATCCACAATAGGCCTCAAAGCGCTCCAAATGTCCACTTCCAGATACTACAAAAAGCGTGTTTCAAATCTGCTCTATGAAAGGGAATGTTCAACTCTGAGACTTGAATGGAAACATCACAAAGACGTTTCTCAGAAGGCTTACGTCTACTTTTTATATGAAGAGAATCCCGTTTCCAACGAAATCCTCAAAGCTGTCCAAATATCCACTTGCAGAGTTTACAAAAAGAGTGTGTGAAAGCTGCTCTATCAAAACAAACTTTCAACACTGTTAGTTGAGTACAGACATCCCAAATAAGTTTCTGAGAATCCTTCTGTCTAGATTTTATGGGAAGATATTTCCTTTTTCACCATAGGCCTCAAAGCGCTCCAAATGTCCACTTCCAGATACTATAAAAAGACTGTTTCAAACCTGCTCTGTGAAAGGGAATGTTCAACTCTGTGACTTGAATGCAAACGTCATAAAGAAGTTTCTGAGGATGCTTCTTCTTTCTATATAGAGATATTCCCGTTTCCAACGAAATCCTCAAAGCAATCCAAGTATCCACTTGCAGATTCCACAAAAAGCGTGTTTCGAATCTGCTCTATCAAAAGAAAGGTTCAACTCTATTAGTTCAGTACACACATGAGGAACAAGTTTCTGAGAATGCTTCAGTCTGGTTTTCATAGGATGAAGTTTTATTTATCACCATAGGCCACAAGCGCTCCAAATGCCCACTTCCAGATACCACAAAAAGAGTGTTTCAAACCTGCTCTATGAAAGGGATTGTTAAACTCTGTGACTTGAATGCAAACATCACAAAGTAGTTTCTGAGAATACTTCTGTCGAGATTTTATATGAAGCTATTCCCGTTTCCAACGAAATCCTCAACGCTATCCAAATATCCACTTGCAGATTCTTCTAAAAGAGAGTTTGAAAACTGCTTCAGGTAGCTCTATAGTTTTCCTCGCATTCTTGAATCGGGAAATGGCCGCTGTGTGGTTGCAACGGAGATAAATTCCCGTAACCGCGATTCGGCGTGTCAGGAATTCGAATTTAGAGTTTAATTTCTCAGAGCATTCTCTCCAGGAAGAATTTTTACAGTATCTCAAAGACTTCACTTGACTTCTTGATCCTGCATAAACCCAAGGAGAAAAGAAATGGGTCGCTCCAATTCTAGATCACATTCTTCAAGGTCAAAGTCTAGATCACAGTCTAGTTCTCGATCAAGATCAAGATCTCATTCTAGAAAGAAGCGATACAGGTCTCGTTCCAGAACATATTCAAGGTCTCGTAGTAGAGATCGTATGTATTCTAGAGATTATCGTCGTGATTATAGAAATAATAGAGCAATGAGACGACCTTATGGGTACAGAGGAAGGGGTAGAGGGTATTATCAAGGAGGAGGAGGTAGATATCATCGAGGTGGTTATAGACCTGTCTGGAATAGAAGGCACTCTAGGAGTCCTAGACGAGGTCGTTCACGTTCCAGGAGTCCAAAAAGAAGATCCGTTTCTTCTCAAAGATCCAGAAGCAGATCTCGCCGGTCATATAGATCTTCTAGGTCTCCAAGATCATCCTCTTCTCGTTCTTCATCCCCATATAGCAAATCTCCTGTTTCTAAAAGACGAGGGTCTCAGGAAAAACAAACCAAAAAAGCTGAAGGGGAACTCCAAGAAGAGAGTCCGTTGAAAAGTAAATCACAGGAGGAACCGAAAGATACATTTGAACATGACTCATCTGAGTCTATCGATGAATTTAATAAGTCGTCAGCCACATGCGGTGATATTTGGCCTGGCCTTTCAGCTTATGATATAGTCCTAGATCACCCCATAGTCCTTCACCTATTGCTACACCACCTAGTCAGAGTTCATCTTGCTCTGATGCTCCCATGCTCAGTACAGTTCACTCTGCAAAAAATACTCCTTCTCAGCATTCACATTCCATTCAGCATAGTCCTGAAAGGTCTGGGTCTGGTTCTGTTGGAAATGGATCTAGTCGATACAGTCCTTCTCAGAATAGTCCAATTCATCACATCCCTTCACGAAGAAGTCCTGCAAAGACAATCGCACCACAGAATGCTCCAAGAGATGAGTCTAGGGGCCGTTCCTCGTTTTATCCTGATGGTGGAGATCAGGAAACTGCAAAGACTGGGAAGTTCTTAAAAAGGTTCACAGATGAAGAGTCTAGAGTATTCCTGCTTGATAGGGGTAATACCAGGGATAAAGAGGCTTCAAAAGAGAAAGGATCAGAGAAAGGGAGGGCAGAGGGAGAATGGGAAGATCAGGAAGCTCTAGATTACTTCAGTGATAAAGAGTCTGGAAAACAAAAGTTTAATGATTCAGAAGGGGATGACACAGAGGAGACAGAGGATTATAGACAGTTCAGGAAGTCAGTCCTCGCAGATCAGGGTAAAAGTTTTGCTACTGCATCTCACCGGAATACTGAGGAGGAAGGACTCAAGTACAAGTCCAAAGTTTCACTGAAAGGCAATAGAGAAAGTGATGGATTTAGAGAAGAAAAAAATGATAAACATAAAGAGACTGGATATGTGGTGGAAAGGCCTAGCACTACAAAAGATAAGCACAAAGAAGAAGACAAAAATTCTGAAAGAATAACAGTAAAGAAAGAAACTCAGTCACCTGAGCAGGTAAAGTCTGAAAAGCTCAAAGACCTCTTTGATTACAGTCCCCCTCTACACAAGAATCTGGATGCACGAGAAAAGTCTACCTTCAGAGAGGAAAGCCCACTTAGGATCAAAATGATAGCGAGTGATTCTCACCGTCCTGAAGTCAAACTCAAAATGGCACCCGTTCCTCTTGATGATTCTAACAGACCTGCTTCCTTGACTAAAGACAGGCTGCTTGCTAGTACACTTGTCCATTCTGTCAAGAAGGAGCAAGAATTCCGATCCATCTTTGACCACATTAAGTTGCCACAGGCCAGCAAAAGCACTTCAGAGTCATTTATTCAACACATTGTGTCCTTGGTTCATCATGTTAAAGAGCAATACTTCAAGTCAGCTGCAATGACCCTAAGCGAGCGGTTCACTTCGTATCAGAAAGCCACTGAAGAACATAGTACTCGGCAAAAGAGCCCTGAAATACACAGGAGAATTGACATCTCACCAAGTACCCTGAGGAAGGATACCCGTTTAGCAGGGGAAGAGAGAGTTTTTAAAGAAGAAAATCAAAAGGGAGATAAAAAATTAAGGTGTGACTCTGCTGACCTTCGACATGACATTGATCACCGTAGAAAAGAAAGAAGTAAAGAACGGGGAGATTCCAAGGGCTCCAGGGAATCCAGGGGATCAAGAAAGCAGGAAAAAACTCCGAAAGATTACAAGGAATACAAATCTTACAAAGATGACAGTAAACATAAAAGAGAGCAAGATCATTCTCTATCTTCATCCTCTTCAGCATCACCTTCTTCTCCCAGTTCTCGAGAAGAAAAGGAGAGTAAGAAGGAAAGAGAAGAAGAATTTAAAACTCACCATGAAATGAAAGAATACTCAGGCTTTGCAGGAGTTAGCCGACCACGAGGAACCTTTCATGACGACAGAGATGATGGTGTGGATTATTGGGCCAAAAGAGGAAGAGGTCGTGGTACTTTTCAACGTGGCAGAGGGCGCTTTAACTTCAAAAAATCAGGTAGCAGTCCTAAATGGAATCATGACAAATACCAAGGGGATGGGATTGTTGAAGATGAAGAAGAGACCATGGAAAATAATGAAGAAAAGAAGGACAGATGCAAGGAAGAAAAGGAATAATAAATATGAAGTAAGATTACAACAGAGCAGAACTTGCACCCACCGTTTTTTTTTTTACCTGATTTTTGTTTTCAAATAAGAATGTAAGCATTTTACTTAAATTTTACTGTTTGCAAGTAGTCTATAGAAATTTTGTTGTAAGTCTTCAAATATCTTGATAAATAGTAGACTGTATGTTGAAAATTGTACTGAAATAAAGTAGAAAATTGTTACGTAAAAAAAAAAAGAAAACTGCTTCATTAAAAGAAAGCTTCAACACTGTTAGTTGATTACACACTTGACAAACAAGTTTCTGAGAATGCTTCTGTCTAGTTTTTATGTGAAGATGTTTCCTTTTTCACCGTAGGCCTCAAAGCGCTCCAAATGTCCATTTCCAGATACAACAAAAAGAGTGTTTCAAACCTGCTCCACGGAAGGGAATGTTCAACTCTGGGACTTGAATGCGTACATCACAAAGAAGTTTCTGAAAATGCTTCCGTATGCTTTTTATATAAAGATATTCCCGTTTCCTCCGAAATCCTCAAAGCTATCCAAATATCCATTTGCAGATCCTACAAAAAGAGTGTTTCCAAACTGCTCTCTCAAAAGAAAGGGTCAACTCTGTGAGTTGAGTACACACATCACAAACAAGTTTCTGAGAATGCTTCTGTCTACTTTTTATGGGAAGAGATTTCCTTTTTCACCATAGGCCTCAAAGCCTTCGGAATGTCCACTTCCAGATACTAGAAAAAGACTGTTTCAAACCTGCTCTGTAAAAGGGAATGCTCAACTCTGTGAGTTGAAAGCAAACATCACAAAGAAGTTTCTGAGATGCTTCTTCTTTTCATATGGAGATAATCCCATTTCCAACGAAATCCTCAAAGCAATCCAAATATCCACTTGCAGATTCTATAACAAGAGTGTTTCAAAACTGCTCTATCAAAAGAAAGGTTCAACTCTGTTAGTTGAGTACACACATCAAAAACTTGTTTCAGAGAATGCTTCTGTCTAGTTTTTATGGGAAGAGATTTCCTTTTTCACCATAGGCCTCCAAGCGCTCCAAATGTCCACTTCCAGATTCTACAAAAAGAGTGTTTCATACCTGCTCTATGAAAGGGAATGTTCAACTCTGTGACTTGAATGCAATCATCATAAAGAAGTTTCTGAGAATGCATCTGTCCCGATTTTATATGAGGATATTCCCGTTTCCAACGACATCCTCAAAGCTATGCAAATATCCACTTGCAGATTCTACAAACAGAGTGTTTCCGATCTGCTCTATCAAGAGAAAAGTTCAACTCTGTTAGTTGAGTAGACACATGACAAACAAGTTTCTGAGAATGCTTCTGTCTAGTTTTTATGGGAAGAGATTTCCTATCCACAATAGGCCTCAAAGCGCTCCAAATGTACACTTCCAGATACTACAAAAAGCGTGTTTCAAACCTGCTCTATGAAAGGGAATGTTCAACTCTGAGACTTGAATGGAAACATCACAAAGACGTTTCTCAGAAGGCTTACGTCTACTTTTTATATGAAGAGAATCCCGTTTCCAACGAAATCCTCAAAGCTGTCCAAATATCCACTTGCAGATTTTACAAAAAGAGTGTCTGAAAGCTGCTGTATCAAAACAAAGTTTCAACAGTGTTAGTTGAGTACACACATCCCAAACAAGTTTCTGAGAATCCTTCTGTCTATTTTATGGGAAGATATTTCCTTTTTCACCGTAGGCCTCAAAGCGCTCCAAATGTCCACTTCCAGATACTATAAAAAGACTGTGTCAAACCTGCTGTGTGAAACGGAATGTTCAACTCTGTGACTTGAATGCAAACATCATAAAGAAGTTTCTGAGGATGCTTCTTCTTTCTATATGGAGATATTCCCGTTTCCAACGAAATCCTCAAAGCAATGCAACTATCCACTTGCAGATTCCACAAAAAGCGTGTTTGGAATCTGCTCTATCAAGAGAAAGGTTCAACTCTATTAGTTGAGTACACACATGAGGATCAAGTTTCTGAGAAGGCTTCAGTCTAGTTTTTATGGGAAGAAGTTTTATTTTTCACCATACGGCACAAGCGCTCCAAATGCCCACTTCCAGATACCACCAAAAGAGTGTTTCAAACCTGCTCTATGAAAGGGATTGTTAAACTCTGTGACTTGAATGCAAACATCACAAATCAGTTTCTGAGAATACTTCTGTCGAGATTTTATATGAAGCTATTCCCGTTTCCAACGAAATCCTCAACGCTATCCAAATAACCACTTGCAGATTCTTCTAAAAGAGAGTTTGAAAACTGCTTCATTAAAAGAAATCTTCAACACTGTTAGTTGAGTACACACATGACAAACAAGTTTCTGAGAATGCTTCTGTCTAGTTTTTATGTGAAGATGTTTCCTTTTTCACCGTAGGCCTCAAAGCGCTCCAAATGTCCATTTCCAGATACAACAAAAAGAGTGTTTCAAACCTGCTCCATGGAAGGGAATGTTCAACTCTGGGGCTTGAATGCGTACATCACAAAGAAGTTTCTGAAAATGCTTCTGTCTGCTTTTTATATAAAGATAGTCCCGTTTCGTCCAAAATCCTCAAAGCTATCCAAATATCCACTTGCAGATCCTACAAAAAGAGTGTTTCCAAACTGCTCTCTCAAAAGAAAGGGTCAACTCTGTTAGTTGAGTACACACATCACAAACAAGTTTCTGAGAATGCTTCTGTCTACTTTTTATGGGAAGAGATTTCCTTTTTCACCATAGGCCTCAAAGCCTTCGGAATGTCCACTTCCAGATACTAGAAAAAGACTGTTTCAAACCTGCTCTGTAAAAGGGAATGCTCAACTCTGTGACTTGAAAGCAAACATCACAAAGAAGTTTCTGAGATGCTTCTTCTTTTCATATGGAGATAATCCCGTTTCCAACGAAATCCTCAAAGCAATCCAAATATCCACTTGCAGATTCTATAACAAGAGTGTTTCAAAACTGCTCTATCAAAAGAAAGGTTCAACTCTGTTAGTTGAGTACACACATCAAAAACAAGTTTCTGAGAATGCTTCTGTCTAGTTTTTATGGGAAGAGATTTCCTTTTTCACCATAGGCCCCAAAGCGCTCCAAATGTCCACTTCCAGATTCCACAAAAAGAGTGTTTCATACCAGCTCTATGAAAGGGAATGTTCAACCCTGTGACTTGAATGCAATCATCATAAAGAAGTTTCTGAGAATGCATGTGCCTCGATTTTATATGAGGATATTCGCGTTTCCAACGACATCCTCAAAGCTGTGCAAATATCCACTTGCAGATTCTACAAACAGAGTGTTTCCCATCTGCTCTATCAAGAGAAAGGTTCAACTCTGTTAGTTGAGTAGACACATGACAAACAAGTTTCTGAGAATGCTTCTGACTAGTTTTTATGGGAAGAGATTTCCTATCCACCATAGGCCTCAAAGCGCTCCAAATGTCCACTTCCAGGTACTACAAAAAGCGTGTTTCAAACCTGCTCTATGAAAGGGAATGTTCAAATCTGAGAGTTGAATGGAAACATCACAAAGACGTTTCTCAGAAGGCTTACGTCTACTTTTTATATGAAGATAATCCCGTTTCCAACGAAATCCTCAAAGCTGTCCAAATATCCACTTGCAGATTTTACAAAAAGAGTGTTTGAAAGCTGCTCTATCAAAATAAAGTTCCAACACTGTTAGTTGAGTACACACATCCCAAACAAGTTTCTGAGAATCATTCTGTCTAGATTTTATGGGAAGATATTTTCTTTTTTACCGTAGGCCTCAAAGCAATCCAAATGTCCACTTCCAGATATTATAAAAAGACTGTTTCAAACCTGCTCTATGAAAGGGAATGTTCAACTCTGTGACTTGAACGCAAACATCACAAAGAAGTTTCTGAGGATGCTTCTTCTTTCTATATAGAGATATTCCCGTTTTCAACGAAATCCCCAAAGCAATCCAAGTATCCACTTGCAGATTCCACAAAAAGCGTGTTTCGAATCTGCTCTATCAAAAGAAAGGCTCAATTCTATTAGTTGAGTACACAGATGAGGAACAAGTTTCTGAGACTGCTTCAGTCTAGTTTTCATGGGAAGAAGTTTTATTTTTCACCATACGCCACAAGCGCTCCAAATGCCCACTTCCAGATACCACCAAAAGAGTGTTTCAAACCTGCTCTATGAAAGGGATTGTTAAACTCTGTGACTTGAATGCAAACATCACAAAGTAGATTCTGAGAATACTTCTGTCGAGATTTTATATGAAGCTATTCCCGTTTCCAACGAAATCCTCAACGCTATCCAAATATCCACTTGCAGATTCTTCTAAAAGAGAGTTTGAAAACTGCTTCATTAAAAGAAAGCTTCAACACTGTTAGTTGATTACACACATGACAAACAAGTTTCTGAGAATGCTTCTGTCTAGTTTTTATGTGAAGATGTTTCCTTTTTCACCGTAGGCCTCAAAGCGCTCCAAATGTCCATTTCCAGATACAACAAAAAGAGTGTTTGAAACCTGCTCCACGGAAGGGAATGTTCAACTCTGGGACTTGAATGCGTACATCACAATGAAGTTTCTGAAAATGCTTCTGTCTGCTTTTTATATAAAGATATTCCCGTTTCCTCCGAAATCCTCAAAGCTATCCAAATATCCACTTGCAGATCCTGCAAAAAGAGTGTTTCAAATCTGCTCTCTCAAAAGAAAGGGTCAACCCTGTTAGTTGAGTACCCACATCACAAACAAGTTTCTGAGAATGCTTCTGTCTACTTTTTATGGGAAGAGATTTCCTTTTTCACCATAGGCCTCAAAGCCTTCGGAATGTCCACTTCCAGATACTAGAAAAAGACTGTTTCAAACCTGCTCTGTAAAAGGGAATGCTCAACTCTGTGACTTGAAATTAAACATCACAAAGAAGTTTCTGAGATGCTTCTTCTTTTCATATGGAGATAATCCTGTTTCCAACGAAATCCTCAAAGCAATCCAAATATCCACTTGCGGATTGTATAACAAGAGTGTTTCAAAACTGCTCTATCGAAAGAAAGGTTCAACTCTGTTACTTGAGTACACACATCAAAAACAAGTTTCTGAGAATGCTTCTGTCTAGTTTTTATGGGAAGAGATTTCCTTTTTCACCATAGGCCTCCAAGCGCTCCAAATGTCCACTTCAGATTCTACAAAAAGAGTGTTTCATACCTGCTCTATGAAAGGGAATGTTCAACCCTGTGTCTTGAATGCAATCATCATAACGAAGTTTCTGAGAATGCATGTGCCTCGATTTTATATGATGATATTCCCGTTTCCAACGAAATCCTCAAAGCTATGCAAATATCCACTTGCAGATTCTACAAACGGAGTGTTTCCGATCTGCTCTATCAAGAGAAAGGTTCAACTCTGTTAGTTGAGTAGACACATGACAAACAAGTTTCTGAGAATACTTCTGTCTAGTTTTTATGGGAAGAGATTTCCTATTCCACCAGAGGCCTCAAAGCGCTCCAAATGTCCACTTCCAGATTCTACAAAAAGAGTGTTTCAAACCTGGTCTATGAATGGGAATGTTCAACTCTGAGACTTGAATGGGAACATCACAAAGACGTATCTCAGAAAGCTTACGTCTACTTTTTATATGAAGATAATCCCGTTTCCAATGAAATCCTCAAAGCTATCCAAATATCCACTTGCAGATTTTACAAAAAGAGTGTTTGAAAGCTGCTCTATCAAAACAAAGTTTCAACACTGTTAGTTGAGTACACACATCCCAAACAAGTTTCTGAGAATCCTTCTGTCTAGATTTTATGGGAAGATAT
The DNA here is from genome assembly GCF_000001405.40 of Homo sapiens. Classification (NCBI taxonomy): domain Eukaryota; kingdom Metazoa; phylum Chordata; class Mammalia; order Primates; family Hominidae; genus Homo; species Homo sapiens. The sequence continues at coordinate 34,260,269 of NC_000016.10, read as the reverse complement.
TTCCTTTTTCACCATAGGCCTCAAAGCGCTCCAAATGTCCACTTCCAGATACGATAAAAAGACTGTTTCGTACCTGCTCTGTGAAAGGGAATGTTCAACTCTGTGACTTGAATGCAAACATCATAAAGAAGTTTCTGAGGATGCTTCTTCTTTTTATATAGAGATATTCCCGTTTCCAACGAAATCCTCAAAGCAATCCAAGTATCCACTTGCAGATTCCACAAAAAGCGTGTTTTGAATCTGCTCTACCAAAAGAAAGGTTCAACTCTATTAATTTAGTACACTCATGAGGAACAAGTTTCTGAGAATGCTTCAGTCTAGTTTTTATGGGAAGAAGTTTTATTTTTCACCATAGACCACAAGCGCTCCAAATGTCCACTTCCAGATACCACAAAAAGAGTGTTTCAAACCTTCTCTATGAAAGGGATTGTTAAACTCTGTGACTTGAATGCAAACATCACAAAGTAGTTTCTGAGAATACTTCTGTCGACATTTTATATGAAGCTATTCCCGTTTCCAATGAAATCCTGAACGCTATCAAAATATCCACTTCCAGATTCTTTTAAAAGAGAGTTTGAAAACTGCTTCATTAAAAGAAAGCTTCAACACTGTTAGTTGAGTACACACATGACAAACAAGTTTCTGAGAATGCTTCTGTCTAGTTTTTATGGGAAGAGATTTCCTTTTTCACCATAGGCCTCAAAGCACTCCAAATGTCCACTTCCAGATTCTACAAAAAGAGTGTTTCATACCTGCTCCATGAAAGGGAATGTTCAACTCTGTGACTTGAATGCAATCATCATAACGAAGTTTCTGAGAAAGCAACCGTCTAGATTTCATATGACGATATTCCCGTTTCCAACGAAATCCTCAAATCTATGCAAATATCCACTTGCAGATTCTACAAACAGAGTGTTTCCGATCTGCTCTATCAAGAGAAAGGTTCAACTCTGTTAGTTGAGTAGACACATGACAAACAAGTTTCTGAGAATGCTTCTGTCTAGTTTTTTTGGGAAGAGATTTCCTATTCCACCATAGGCCTCAAAGCGCTCCAAATGTCCACTTCCAGATACTACAAAATGAGTGTTTCAAACCTGCTCTATGAAAGGGAATGTTCAACTCTGAGACTTGAATGGAAACATCACAAAGACGTTTCTCAGAAGGCTTACGTCTACTTTTTATATGAAGAGAATCCCGTTTCCAACGAAATCCTCAAAGCTGTCCAAATATCCACTTGCAGATTTTACAAAAAGAGTGTTTGAAAGCTGCTCTATCAAAACAAAGTTTCAACACTGTTAGTTGAGTACACACATCCCAAACAAGTTTCTGAGAATCCTTCTGTCTAGATTTTATGGGAAGATATTTCCTTTTTCACCATAGGCCTCAAATCGCTCCAAATGTCCACTTCCATATATTATAAAAAGACTGTTTCATACCTGCTCTGTGAAAGGGAATGTTCAACTCTGTGACTTGAATGCAAACATCATAAAGAGGTTTCTGAGGATGCTTCTTCTTTTTATATAGAGATATTCCCGTTTCCATCGAAATCCTCAAAGCAATCCAAGTATCCACTTGCAGATTCCACAAAATCGTGTTTGAATCTGCTCTATCAAAAGAAAGGTTCAACTCTATTAGTTGAGTACACTCATGAGGAACAAGTTTCTGAGAATGCTTCAGTCTTGTTTTTATGGGAAGAAGTTTTATTTTTCACCATAGGCCACAAGCGCTCCAAATGTCCACTTCCAGATACCACCAAAAGAGTGTTTCATACCTTCTCTATGAAAGGTATTGTTAAACTCTGTGACTTGAATGCAAACATCACAAAGTAGTTTCTGAGAATACTTCTGTCGAGATTTTATATGAAGCTATTCCCGTTTCCAACGAAATCCTCAACGCTATCCAAATATCCACTTGCAGATTCTTCTAAAAGAGAGTTTGAAAACTGCTTCATTAAAAGAAAGCTCCAACACTGTTAGTTGAGTACACAGATGACAAACAAGTTTCTGAGAATGCTTCTGTCTAGTTTTTATGGGAAGATGTTTCCTTTTTCACCGTAGGCCTCAAAGCGCTCCAAATGTCCATTTCCAGATACAACAAAAAGAGTGTTTCAAACCTGCTCCACGGAAGGGAATGTTCAACTCTGGGACTTGAATGCGTACATCACAAAGAAGTTTCTGAAAATGCTACTGTCTGCTTTTTATATAAAGATATTCCCGTTTCCTCCGAAATCCTCAAAGCTATCCAAATATCCACTTGCAGATCCTACAAGAAGAGTGTTTCAAAACTGCTCTCTCAAAAGAAAGGGTCAACTCTGTTAGTTGTGTACACACATCACAAAAAAGTTCCTGAGAATGCTTCTGTCTACTTTTTATGGGAAGAAATTTCCTTTTTCACCGTAGGCCTCAAAGCGCTCTAAATGTCAACTTCCAGATCCTACAAAAAGAGTGTTTGAAACCTGCTCTATGAAAGGGAATATTGAACTCTGTGACTTGAATGCAATCATCATAAAGAAGTTTCTGAGAATGCATCTGTCTAGATTTTATATGATGATATTCCCGTTTCCAACGATATCTTCAAATCTATCCAAATATCCACTTGCAGATTCTACAAACAGAGTGTTTCAGATCGGCTCTATCAAAAGAAAGGTTCAACTCTGTTAGTTGACTAGGCACATGACAAACAAGGTTCTGAGAATGCTTCTGTCTAGTTTTTATGGGAAGAGATTTCCTATTCCACAATAGGCCTCAAAGCGCTCCAACTGTCTGCTTCCAGATACTATAAAAGTCTGTTTCAAACCTGCTCTGTGAAATGAAATGTTCAACTCTGTGACTTGAATGCAAACATCAGAAAGAATTTTCTGAGAATGCTTCTTCTTTTTATATAGATGTATTCCCCTTTCCAAAGAAATCCTCAAAGCAATCCAAATATCCACTTGCAGATTCCACAAAAAGTGTGTTTCAAAACTGCTCTATCAAAAAAAAGGTTCAACTCTGTTAGTTGAGTACACACATCAGAAACAAGTTTCTGAGAATGCTTCAGTCTAGATTTTATGGGAAGAATTTTTATTTTTTACCATAGGCCTCAAAGCGCTCTAAATATCCACTTCCAGATACTATAGAAAAAGGTTTTCAATCCTGCTCCATGGAAGGGAATGTTAAACTCTGTGAGTTGAATGCAAACATCACAAAGTAGTTTCCGAGAATACTTCTGTCTACATTTTATATGAAGCTATTCCCGTTTCCAACAAAGTCCTCAGAGCTATCCAAATATCCACTTGCAGATTCTTCTAAAAGAGATTTGAAAACTGATCTAATAAAAGAAAGGTTCAACACTGTTAGTTGATTAAACACATGACAAACAAGTTTCTGAGAATGCTTCTGTCTTGTTTTTATGGGAAGAGGTCTGCTATTCCAACAAAGGCCTCAAGGCGCTCCAAATGTCCACTACCAGATACTATAAAAAGAATGTTTCAAACCTGCTCTGTGAAAGGGAATGTTGAACTCTGGTACTTGAATGCAAACGTCACAACGACTTTTCTGAGAACTCTTCTGTCTACTTTTTATATGAAGATAATCCCGTTTCCAATGAAATCCTCAAAGCTATCCAAATATCCACTTGCAGATTTTACAAAAAGAGTGTTTGAAAACTGCTCTATCAAAAAAAAGTTCAACACTGTTAGTTGAGTTCACACATCCCAAACAAGTTTCGGAGAATTCCTCTGTCTAGATTTTAGGGGAAGATATTTCCTGTTTCACCATAGGCCTCAAAGCGATCCAAATGTCCACTTCCAGATACTATAAAATGACTGTTTCAAACCTGCTCTGTGAAAGGGAATGTTCATCTCTGTGACTTGAATGCAAACATCAGAAAGAAGTTTCTGAGAATGCTTCTTCTTTTTTATAGAGATATTCCCGTTTCCAACGAAATACTCAATGCAATCCAAATATCCAATCGCAGATTCCACAAAAAGGATGTTTCAAAACTGCCCTATCAAAAGAAAAGTTCAACTCTGTTAGTTGAGTACACATCAGGAACAAGTTTCTGAGAATGCTTCAGTCTAGATTTTATGGGAAGAATTTTTATTTTTCACCATAGGCCTCAAAGCGCTCCAAATGTCCACTTCTAGATACTATAAAAGGAGTGTTTCAAACGTGCTCTATGAAAGGGAATGTTAAACTCTGTGACTTGAATGCAAGCATCGCAAAGTAGTTTCCGAGAATACTTCTGTCTACATTTTATATGAAGCTATTCCCGTTTCCAAATAAATCCTCAAAGCTATCCAAATATCCACTTGCAGATTCTTCTAAAAGGGAGTTGGAAACTGCTTTATTAAAAGAAAGCTTCAAAACTGATAGTTGAGTACACACAGGACAAACAAGTTTCTGAGAATGCTTCTGTCTAGTTTTTATGGGAAGATGTTTCCTTTTTCAACATAGGCCTCAAAGCTCTCCAAATGTCCACTTCCAGATACAACAAAAAGAGTGTTTCAAACCTGATCTATGGAAGGGAATGTTCAACTCTGGGACTTGAATGCAAACATCACAAAGAAGTTTCTTAAAATGCTTCTGTCTCCTTTTTATATGAAGTTTTTCCCGTTTCCTCCGAAATCCTCAAATCTATCCAAATATCCACTTACAGAACCTACAAAAAGAGTGTTTCAAAACTGCTCTATCAAAAGAAAGGTTCAACTCTGTTAGTTGAGTACACACATCAGAAACAAGTTTCTGAGAATGCTTCTGTCTAGTTTTTATGGGGAGAATACTTCTTTTTCACCATTGGCCTCGAAGTGCTCCAAATGTCCACTTCCAGATACTATAAAAAGAGTGTTTCAAACCTGCTCTATGAAAGGGAATGTTAAACTCTGTGACTTGAATGCAAACATCACATAGTAGTTTCCGAGAATGCTTCTGTCTAGATTTTATATGAAGTAATTCCTGTTCCCAACGAAATCCTCAAAGCTATCCCAATATCCAGATGCAGTTTTTACTGAAAGTGTGTTTGACAACTGCTCTATCAAAAGAAATGTTCAACTCCCATTATTGAGTACACATATCACAAACAAGTTTCAGAGAATCCTTCTGTCTAGTTTTTATGGGAATATATTTCCTTTTTCACCATAGGCCTCAAAGCGCTCCAAATGTCCACTTCCAGATACTACAAAAAGACTGTTTGAAACCTGCTCCGTGAAAGGGAATGTTCAACTCTGTGACTTGAATGCAAACATCAGAAAGAAGTTTCTGAGAATGCTTCTGTTTGACTTTTATATGAAGATATTCCCGTTTCCAATGAAATCCTCAAGACTATCCAAATATCCAATTGCAGAATCTACAAAAAGAGTGTTTCAAAACTTCTCTATAAAAAGAAAGCTTCAACTCTATCAGTTGAGTACACACATCACAAAGAAGTTTCTGAGAATGCTTCTGTCTAGTTTTTATGTGAAGATATTCCCGTTTCCAATGAAAGCCTCAAAGATATCCCAATATATACTTGTAGATTCTACAAAAAGAGAGCTTCAAAACCACTGTAAAAAAGCAATGTTCAAACCTCTGAGATGAGTACACACATCACATAGAAGTTTCTGATAATGCCTCTGTCTAGTTTTTATGTGAAGATATTTCCTTTTTCACCATTGGCCTCATAGCGCACCAAATGTCCAATTCCAGATACTACAAAAAGAGGGTTTCAAACCTGCTCTATGAAAGGGAATGTTCAACTCTGTGACTTGAATGCAAGCATCACAAAGATTTTTCTCAAAATGCTTCTGTCTACAGTTTACATTAAGATATTCCCGTTTCCAACGAAATCCTCAAAGCTATCTCAATATGCACTTGCAGATTCTACAAAAAGAGTGTTTCAAAACTGCTCTATCAAAGAAAGGTTGAACTCCGTTTGCTGAGTGCACACATCATAAACAAGTTTCTGAGAACACTTCTGTCTAGTTTTTAAGGGAAGATATTTCCTTTTTCATTGTAGGGCTCAATGCGCTCCAAATGTCCACTTCCAGATACTACAAAAAGAGTGTTTCAAACCTGCTCTATGAAAGGGAATGTTCAACTCTGTGACTTGAATGCAAAAATCACAAAGATGTTTCTGAGAATGCTTCTATGTAGATTTTATATGAAGATATTCCCGTTTCCAAGGAAATCCTCAAAGCTATCCAAATATCCAGTTGCAGATTCTACAAAAAGAGTGTTTCAAAACTGCTCTATCAAAAGAAAGGTTCAACTCTGTTAGATGAGTACATACATCACAAACAAGTTTCTGAGAATGCTTCTGGCTAGTTTTTATGGGAAGATATTTCCTTTTTCAGCATAGGCCTCAATGCGCTCCAAATGTTCACTTCCAGATACTACAAAAAGTGTGTTTCAAACCTGCTCTGTGAAAGAGAATGTTCAACTCCGTGACTTGAATACAGAACATCACAAAGGATTTTCTGAGAATGCTTCTGTCCACTTTTTATATTAAGATATTCCCGTTTCCACCGTAATCCTCAAAGCTATCCAAATATCCACTTGGAGATTCTACAAAAAGAGTATTTCAAAACTGCTCTATCAAAAGAAAGGTTCAACTCTGTTAGTTGAGTACACACATCAAATACACGTTTTTCAGAATGCTTCTGTCTAGTTTTTATGGGAATAGATTTCCTTTTTCGCCATCGGCCTCAGAGCGCTCCAAATGTCCACTTCCTGATACTACAAAAAGAGTGTTTCAAACCTGTTCTATGAAAAGGAATGTTCAACTCTGTGACTTGAATGCAAACATCAGAAAGATGATTCTCAGAATGCTTCTGTCTAGATTTTATATGAAGATATTCCCTTTTCCAACTAAATCCTGTAAGCTATCTATATATCCAATTTCAGATTCTACACAAAGAGTGTTTCAATACTGCTCTATCTAAAGAAAGTTTCAACTTTGTTAGTTGAGTTCACACATCACAAAGAAGTTTCTGAGAATGCTTCAGTCTAGTTTTTATGGGAAGATATTTCCTTTTCACCATAGGCCTCATTGTGCTCCAAATGTCCATTTCCGGATACTACAAAAAGAGTGTTTCAAACCTGCACTATGAAAGGGAATGTTCAACTCTGTGGCTTGAATGCAAATATCACAAAGAAGTTCCTGAGAATGCTTCTGTCTACTTTTATATGAAGATATTCCCGTTTCCAACGAAATATTCAAAGCTATCCAAGTGTCCACTTGCAGATTCTACAAAAAGAGTGTTTCAAAACTGCTCTATCAAATGAAAGGTTCAACTGTGTTAGTTGAGTACACATATCACAAACAAGTTTCTGAGAATGTTTCTGTCTACTTTTCTTGGGTAGATATTTCCTTTTTCACCATAGGCCTCAAATCGCTCCAAATGTCCTCTTCCAGATACTCCAAAAAGAGTGTTTCAAAAGTGCTCTATGAAAGGGAATATTCAAATCGGTTAGTTGAGTCCAAACATCACAAAGAAGTTTCTGAGAATGCTTCTGTGTACTTTTTATGTGAAGATATTCCCTTTTCCAAATAAATCCTCAAAGCTACCAAAATATCCACTTGCAGACTCTACAAAACTAGTGTTTCAAAACTGCTCTATGAAACGAAAATATCAAATCTGTGAGTTGGGAACACACATCACAAAGAAATTTGTTAGAATTCTTCTGCGTAATTTTCATCGGAAGATTCTTACCTTTTTCAACACAGGCCTCAAAGCGCTGCAAGCATCCACTTACAGATTCTTCAAGAAGAGTGTTTCAAAACTGCTCTATGAAAATGAATGTTCAACTCTGTGAGTTGAATGCAAGCATCAAAAAGAAGTTTCTGAGAATGCTTCTGTTTCGTTTTTATATGAATATTTTCCCGTTTCCAACGAAATCCTCAAAGCTAACAAAACACCCACTTGCAGATACTTCAAAAAGAGTGTTTCAATACTGCTGTATACAAGGAAAGGTTCAACTCCGTTAGTTGAGTACCTACATCACAAACTAGTTTCTGAGATTGCTTCTGCCTAGTTTTTACGTGAAGATATTACCTTTTTCACCAAAGGCCCAAAAGCTCACAAAGTGTCCCCTTCCAGTTACTACAAATAGAGTGTTTCAGAACTGCTCTATGAAAAGGCATGTTCAGATCTGTGCATTCAATCGAAACATCACATAGAAGTTTCAGAGAATGCTTCTGTGTAGTTTTTATGTGAAGATATTCCCTTTTCCAAAGAAAGCCTCAAAGTTATCCTAATATCAACTTGCAGATTCTACACAAAGAGAGTTTCAAAACTGCTGTATTAAAAGATATGTTCAACTCTCTGAGTTGAGTACACACATCTCATAGAAGTTTCTGAGAATGCTTCTGTCTAGTTTTTATGTGAAGATATTTCCTTTCTCACCATAGACCTCAAAGCCCTCCAAATGTTCGTTTCCAGACAGCACAAAAAGATTATTTCAAAACTGCCCTATGAAATGGAATGTTCAACTCTGTGAGTTGAAAACAAACATGATAAAGAAGTTCCTGAGAATGCTTCTGTTTGTTTATATAAGAAGATATTCTCATTTGCAAGGAAGTCCTCAAAGCTATCCAAATATCCCCTTGCAGATACTACAAAAAGAATCTTCCATAACTGCTGTATCAAATAAAAGTTCAACTCTGTGGGTTGAGTACAGATATCACAAAGTAGTTTGTGAGAATGGTTCTGTCTAGTTTTTAATGTGAAAATATTTCCTTTTTCACCATAGGCCACAAAGCGCTCCAAATGTCCACTTCCAGATACTACAAAAAGGGTGTTTCAAAACTACTCTATGAAAGGGAATATTCAACTCTGTGAGTTGAGTCCAAACATAACAAAGAAGTTTCTGAGAATGCTTCTGTCTAGTTTTTATGTGAAAATATAACAGTTTCCGATGAAATCCTCAAAGGTAATCCAAATATCCACTTGCAGACTCTACAAACTAGTGTTTCAAAACCGCTCTATCAAAAGAAAAGATCAACTCTGTCAGTTGAGAGCACACATCACAAGGAAGTTTGTGAGAATTCTTCCATCTAGTTTTTATGGGAAGATATTTCCTTTTTCACCATAGGCCTCAAAGCGCTCCAAGCTTCCACTTACAGATTCTACAAAAAGAGTGTTTCAAAACTGCTCTATGAAAAGGAATATTCAACTCCGTGAGTTGAATGCAAGCATCATAAAGAAGTTTCTGAGAATGTTTCTGTTTAGTTTTTATGAGAAGATATTCCCATTTCCAACGAAAGCCTCATAGATAACAAAATATCCACTTGCAGATACTACAAAAAGTGTGTTTCAATACTGCTGCATCCAAAGAAAGGTTCAACTCCGTAAGTTGAGTACACACATCACAAAGAAGTTTCTGAGAATGCTTCTGCCTAGTTTTTACGTGAAGATATATCCTTTTTCAAGATAGGCAAAAAATCGCACCAATTGTCCCCTTCCAGATACTATAAAAAGAGTGTTTCAGAACTGCTCTATGAAAGGGTATGTTCAACTCTGTGAGTTGAATCGAAACATCACAAAGAAGTTTCAGAGAATGCTTCTGCCTAGTTTTTATGTGAAGATATTTCCTTTTTCACCATAGGCCCAAAGGCCCATCAAGTGTCCCCTTCCAGATACTGCAAAAAGAGTGTTTCAGAGCTGCTCTATGAAAAGGCACATTCAGCTCTGTGAGTTCAATCAAAACATCACAAAGAAGTTTCAGAGAATGCTTCTCTCTAGTTTTTATGTGATGATATTCCCATTTCCAACAAAAGCCTCAAAGTTATCCTAATATCAACTGGCAGATTCTACAAAAAGAGAGTTTCAAAACCGCTGTGTCAAAAGAAATGTTCAACTCTGTGAGTTGAGTACACCCATCGCAAAGAAGTTTCTGAGAATGCTTCTGTCTACTTTTTATGTGAAGATATTTCCTTTTTCACCATAGGCCTCAAAGCGCTCTAAATGTCCACTTCCAGATAGTACAAAAAGAGAGTTTCAATACTGCCCTATGAAAGGGAATGTTCAGCTCTGTGAGTTGAAAGCAAACATCATAAAGAAGCTCCTAAGAATGCTTCTGTCTAGTTTTTATGTGAAGATATTCCCATTTCCAACGAAATCTTCAAAGCTATCCAAATATCCACTTGCATACTCTACAAAAATAGTGTTTCAAAACTACTCTATCAAAAGTAAAGCTCAACTCTGTGAGTTGAGAATGCACAACACGAAGAAGTTTCTGAGAATTCTTCTGTCTAGTTTTTATGGGAAGATATTTCCTTTTTCACCATAGGTCACAAAGCTCTCCAAGTTTCCACTTACAGATTCTACAAAAAGAGTGTTTCAAAGCTGCTCTATTAAGACGAACGTTCAAATCTGTGAGTTGAATGCAAGCATCACAAAGAAGTTTCTGAGAATGCTTCTGTCTTGTTTTTATGGGAAGATATTCCCGTTTCCAACGAAAGCCTCAAGGCTATCCAAATATCCACTTGCAGACTCTACAAAAAGAATCTTTCAAAAAAGCTGTATCAAAAGAAATGTTCAACTCTGTGTGGTGAGTGCACACATCTCAAAGTAGTTTCTGAGAATGCTTCTGTCTGGTTTTTATGTGAAAAGATATTTCCTTTTTCACCATAGGCCTCAAAGCGCTCAAATGTCCACTTCGAGATACTACAAAAAGAGTGTTTCAAAACTGCTCTATGAAAGGGAATATTCAACTCTGTGAGTTGAATGCAAACATCACAAAGTAATTTCTGAGAATTCTTCTGTCTATTTTTTATGGGAAGATATTTCTTTTTCACCATAGGCCCCAAAGCGCTAAAATTTCCAGTTTCAGATACTTCAAAAAGAGTGTTTCAAAACTGCTCTATGAAAAGGAATGTTCAACTCTGCGAGTTGAATGCAAGCATCACAAAGAAGTTTCTGAGAATGCTTCTGTCTAGTTTTTATGTGAAGATACTCCCATTTCCAACGAAAGCCTCAAAGCTATCCAAATATCAACTTGCGGACTCTACAAAAAGAGAGTTTCAAAACCGCTGTGTCAAAAGAAATGTTCAACTCTGTGAGTTGAGTACATACACCGCAAAGAAGTTTCAGAGAATGCTTCTGTCTTGTTTTTATGTGAAGATATTTCCTTTTTCACCATAGGCCTCAAAGAGCTCCAAATGTCCACTTCCACATAGTAGAAAAAGTGTGTTTCAAAACTGCCCTATGAAAGGGAGTGTTCAACTCTTTGAGTTGAAATCAAACTTCATAAAGAAGTTCCTGAGAATGATTCTGTCTAGTTTTTATGTGAAGATATTCCCGTTTCCAGCGAAATCCTCAAAGCTATCCAAATATCCAATTGCAGACTCTACAAAAAGAGTGTTTCAATCTGCTCTATCAAAAGAAAAGCGCACCTCTGTGAGTTGAGAACACACATCCCAAAGCAGTTTCTGAGAATTCTTCTGTCTAGTTTTTATGGGAAGATATTTCCTTTTTCACCATAGGTCTCAAAGCTCTCCAAGTTTCCACTTACAGATTCTACAAAAAGAGTGTTTCAAAGCTGCACTATTAAAAGGAATGTTCAAATCTGTGAGTTGAATGCAAGCATCACAAAGAAGCTTCTGAGAATGCTTCTGTTTAGTTTTTGTTTGAAGATATTCCCGTTCCCAACGAAAGCCTCAAGGCTATCCAAATATCCACTTGCAGATTCTACAAAAAGAATGTTTCAAAACTGCCGTTCCAAAGAAATGTTCAACTCTGTGAGTTGAGTACACACATCACAAAGTATTTTCTGAGAATGCTTCTGTCTAGTTTTTATGTGAAGATATTTCCTTTTTCACCGTAGGCCTCAAAGCGCTTGAAATGTCCACTTCCAGATACTACAAAAAGAGTGTTTCAAAACTGTTCGATGATAGGGAATGTTCAAATCTGTCAGTTGAATGCAAACCTCACAAAGAAGTTTCTGAGAGTGCTTCTGTCTTGTTTTTACATGAAGATATTCCCGTTTCCATTGAATTCATCACAGCTAGCCAAATATCCACTTGCAGACTCTGCAAAAAGAGTTTTTCAAAACTGCTCTATCAAAAGAAAAGCTCAACTCTGTGAGATGAGAACACACATCACAAAGAAGTTTCTGAGAATTCTTTTGTCTAGTTTTTATGGAAAGATATTTCCTTTTTCACCACAGGCCTCAAAGCACTCCAAGTTTCCACTTACAGATTCTACAAAAAGTGTGTTTCAAAACTGCTCTATGAAAGGGAGTATTCAACTCTGTGAGTTGAATCCAAACATCATAAAGTAGTTTCTGAGAATGCTTCTGTCTAGTTTTTATGTGAAGATATTCCCTTTTCCAAAGAAATCCTCAAAGCTATCCAAATACCCACTTGCAGACTCTACAAAACTAGTGTTTCAAAACTGCTCTATCAAAAGAAAAGATCAACTCTGTGATTTGAGAGCACACATCACAAAGAAGTTTCTGAGAATTCTTCTGTCTAGTTTTTATGGGAAGATATTTCCTTTTTCACCATAGGCCTCAAAGCCCTCCAAGTTTCCACTTACAGATTCTACAAAAAGAGTGTTTCAAAGCTGCTCTATTAAAAGGAATGTTCAAATCCGTGAGTTGAATGCAAGCATGACAAAGAAGTTTCTGAGAATGCTTCTGTCTAGTTTTTATGGGAAGATATTCCCTTTTCCAACGAATGCCTCAAGGCTATCCAAATATCCACTTGCAGATTCTACAAAAAGAATGTTTCAAAACTGCTGTATCAAAAGAAATGTCCAGCTCTGTGAGTTGAGTACACACATCACAAAGTATTTTCTGAGAATGCTTCTGTGAAGTTTTTATGTGAAGATATTTCCTTTTCCACCATAGGCCTCAAAGCGCTCCAAATGTCCACTTCCAGTTACTCGAAAAAGAGTGTTTCAGAACTGTTCTATGATAGGGAATGTTCAACTCTGTCAGTTGAATGCAAACATCACAAAGAAGTCTCTGAGAATGCTTCTGTCTAGTTTTTATGTGAAGATATTCCCGTTTCCAATGAAAGCCTCATATCTATCCAAATGTCAACTTGAAGATTCTGCAGAAAGAGTGTTTCAAAACTGCTCTATGGAAAGCCATGTTCAACTCTGTGAGTTGAATTCAAGCATCACCAGAAGTTTCTGAGGATGCTTCTGTTTAGTTTTTATGAGAAGATATTCCCGTTTCCAACGAAAGCCTCAAATCTATCCAAATATTAACTTGCAGATTCTACAATAAGAGTATTTCAAAACTGCTGTATGAAAAGAAATGTTCATCCCTCTCCCTCTCCCTCTCCCTCTCCCTCTGTCTCCCTCTCTGCACGGTCTCCCTTTCCCTCTCCCTCTTCCTCTCCCTCTCCCTCTGTCTCCATCTCCACACGGTCTCCCTTTCCCTCTCCCTCTTCCTCTCCCTCTCCCTCTGTCTCCATCTCCACATGGCCTCCCTCTCCCTCTCTTTCCACTGTCTCCCTCTGATGCCGAGCCGAAGCTGGACTGTACTGCTGCCATCTCGGCTCATTGCAACCTCCCTGCCTGATTCTCCTGCCTCAGCCTGCTGAGTGCCTGCGATTGCACGTGCATGCCGCCACGCCTGACTGGTTTTCGTATTTTTTTTGGTGGAGACAGGGTTTCACTGTGTTGGCCGGGCTGGTCTCCAGCTGCTAACCGTGAGTGATCTGCCAGCCTTGGCCTCCCGAGGTGCTGGGATTGCAGATGGCGTCTCGTTCACTCAGTGCTCAATGTTGCCCAGGCTGGAGTGCAGTGGCATGATCTCGGCTGGCTACAACCTCCACCTCCCAGCTGCCTGCCTTGGCCTCCTGAAGAGCCAAGATTGCAGCCTCTGCCAAGCCGCCACCCCGTCTTGGAAGTGAGGAGTGTCTCTGCCTGGCCACCCGTCATCTGGGATGTGAGGAACCCCTCTGCCCGGCTGCCCAGTCTAGGAAGTGAGGAGCGCCTCTTCCCGGCCGCCATCCCATCTAGGAAGTGAGGAGCATCTCTGCCCAGCCACCCATCGTCTGAGATGTGGGGAGCACCTCTGCCCCTCCACCCCGTGTGGGATGTGAGGAGTGCCTCAGCCCAGCTGCAATCCCGTCTGGGAGGTGAGGAGCATCTCTGCCTGGCCACCCCATTAGAGAGGTGAGGAGCCCCTCCACCCGGCAGCCACCCCGCCTGAGAAGTGAGGAGCCCCTCTGCCCAGCAGCTGCCCCATCTGAGAAGTGTGGAGCCCCTCTGTCCAGCAGCTGCCCTGTCTGAGATGTGAAGAGCCCCTCCACCCAGCAGCCACCCCGTCTGGGAAGTGAGGAACATCTCCACCCGGCAGCCACCCCGCCTGGGAGGGAGGTGGGGGACAGCCCCCGCCCAGCCAGCCACTCCATCTGGGAGGGAGATGGGGGGTCAGCCCCTGCCCGGCCAGCCACCCCGTCCATGAGGGAGGTGGGTGGTCAGCCCCCACCCGGCCAGCCGCCCCGTCCGGGAGGGAGGTGGGTGGTCAGTCCCCACCCGGCCAGCCACCCTATCTGGTAGGGAGGTGGGGGGTCAGCCCCCGCCCGGCCAGCCGCCCCATCCGGGAGGGAAGTGGGGGGCACCTCCGCCCGGCCAGCCACCCTGTCCTGGAGGTGGGGGGCACCTCTGCCCGGCCGCCCCTTCTGGGAAGTGAGGAGCCCCTCTGCCCGGCCGCCACCCCGTCTGGGATGTGGACCCAACAGCTCATTGAGAACGGGCCATGATGATGATGGTGGTTTTGTGGAATAGAAAAGGGGGAAAGGTGGGGAAAAGTTAGAGAAATCAGATTGTTGCTGTGTCTGTGTAGAAAGAAGTAGACATGGGAGACTTCATTTTGTTCTGTACTAAGAAAAATTCTTCTGCATTGGGATGCTGTTGATCTATGACCTTACCCCCAACCCTGTGCTCTCTGAAACTTGTGCTGTGTCCACTCAGGGTTAAATGGATTAAGGGCTGTGCAAGATGTGCTTTGTTAAACAGATGCTTGAAGGCAGCATGCTCCTTAAGAGTCATCATCACTCCCTAATCTCAAGTACCCAGGGAGACAAACACCCGCGGAAGGCCGCTGGGTCCTCTGCCTAGGAAAACCACAGACCTTTGTTCACTTGTTTATCTACTGAAATTCCCTCCACTATTGTCCTATGACTCTGCCAAATCCCCCTCTGCGAGAAACACTCAAGAATGATCAACAAAAATAAATAAATAAATAAATAAATAAATAAATGTTCAACACTGTGAGTTGAGTACATACATCATAAAGAAGTTTCTGAGAATGCTTCTGTCTAGTTTTTATGTGAAGATATTTCCTTTTTCACTGTAGGCCTCAAAGCACACCAAATGTCCACTCTCAGATACTACAAAAAGTGTGTTTCAAAACTATTCTATGAAAGGGAATATTCAACTCTGTGAGTTGAGTCCAAACATCACAAAGAAGTTTCTGAGAATGCTTCTGTCTAGCTTTAAGGAGAAGATATTCCGTTTTACAAAGAAATCCTCAAAGCTATCCATATATCCACTTGCAGACCCTACAAAACCAGTATTTCAAAACTACTCTATCAAAAGAAAAGATCAACTCTGTGAGTTGAGAACACACATCACAAAGAAGTTTGTGAGAATTCTTCTGTCTAGTTTTTATGGGAAGATATTTCCTATTTCACCATAGGCCTCAAAGCGCTCCAAGCTTCCACTTGCAGATTCTACAAAAAGAGTGTTTCAAAAGTGCTCTATGAAAAGGAATGTTCAACTCTGTGAGTTCAATGCAAGCATCACAAAGAAGTTTCTGAGAATGCTTCTGTTTAGTTTTTATGAGAAGATATTCCCGTTTCCAACGAAAGCCTCAAAGCTAACAAAATATCCACTTGCAGATACTACAAAAAGAGTGTTTCACTACGGCTCTATCAAAAGAAAAGTTCAACTCCGTGAGTTGAGTACACACATCACAAAGAAGTTTCTGAGAATGCTTCTGTCTAGTTTTTACGTGAAGATATTTCCTTTTTCACCATAGGCCCAAAAGCGCACCAAGTGTCCCCTTCCAGATACTACAAAAAGAGTGTTTCAGAACTGCTCTATGAAAGGGCATGTTTAAGTCTGTGAGTTGAATCGAAACATCACAAAGAAGTTTCAGAGAATGCTTCTGTCTAGTTTTTATGTGAAGATATTCCCGTTTCCAACAAAAGCCTCAAAGTTATCCTAATATCATCTTGCAGATTCTACAAAAAGAGAGTTTCAAAACCGCTGTATCAAAAGAAATGTTCAACACTGTGAGTTGAGTACACATATCAAAAAGAAGTTTCTGAGAATGCTTCTGTCTAGTTTTTATGTCAAGATATTTCCTTTTTCACCATAGGCCTCAAAGTGCTAAAATTTCCACTTGCAGATACTTCAAAAAGAGTGTTTCAAAACTGCTCTATGAAAAGGAATGTTCAACTCTGTGAGTTGAATGCAAGCATCACAAAGATGTTTCTGAGAATACTTCTGTCTAGTTTTTATGTGAAGATACTCCCGTTTCCAAAGAAAGCCTCAAGGCTATCCAAATATCCACTTGCAGATTCTACAAAAAGAATGTTTCAAAACTGCTGTATCAAAAGAAATGTTCAACTCTGTGAGTTGAGTACACACATCACAAAGTAGATTCTGAGAATGCTTCTGTCTAGTTTTCATGTGAAGATATTACCTTTTTCACCATAGGCCTCAAAGTGCTCCAAATGTCCACTTCCAGATACTACAAAAAGAGTGTTTTAAAACTTTTCTATGATAGGGAATGTTCAACTCTGTCAGATGAATGCAAACATCGCAAAGAAGTCTCTGAGAATGTTTCTGTCTAGTTTTTATGTGAAGATATTCCCGTATCCAACAAAAGCCTCAAAACTATCCTAATATCAACTTGCAGATTCTACAAAAAGAGTATTTCAGAACTGCTGTATCAAAAGAAAGTTTCAACACTGTGAGTGGAGTACAAATATCACAAAGAAGTTTCTGAGCATTCTTCTGTCTAGTTTTTATGGGAAGATATTTCTTTTTCACCATAGGCCTCAAAGCACTAAAATTTCAACTTACAGATTCTTCAAAACGAGTGTTTCAAAACTGCTCTATGAAAAGGAATGTTCAACTCTGTGAGTTGAATGCAAGTATCACAAAGTAGTTTCTGAGAATGTTTCTGTCTAGTTTTTATGTGAAGATATTCCCGTTTCCAACAAAAGCCTCAAAGCTATCCAAATATCCACTTGAAGATTCTACAAAAAGAGTGCTTCAAAACTACTGTATCAAAAGAAAAGTTCAACCCTGTGAGTTGAGTATACACATCATAAAGAAGTTTCTGAGAATGCTTCTGTCTAGCTTTTATATGAAGCTATTTCCTTTTTCACCATAGGCCTCAAAGCACACCAAATGTCCACTTCCAGATACTACAAAAAGAGTATTTAAAAACTGCTCTATGAAAGGGAATATTCAACTCAGTGAGTTGAGTCCAAACATCACAAAGAAGTTTCTGAGAATGCTTCTGCCTAGTTTTTATGTGAAGATATTCCCTTTTCCAAAGAAATCCTCAAAGCTATCCATACATCCACTTGCAGACTCTACAAAACTAGTGTTTCAAAACTGCTCTATCAAAAGAAAAGATCAACTCTGTGAGTTGAGAACCCACATCACAAAGAAGTTTGTGAGAATTTTTCTGTCTAGTTTTTATGGGAAAATATTTCCTTTTTCAACATAGGCCTCAAAGCGCTCCAAACTTCCACTTACAGATACTTCAAAAAGAGTGTTTTAAAACTGTTCTATGAAAAGGAATGGTCAACTCTGTGTGTTGAACGCAAGCATCACAAAGAAGTTTCTGAGAATGCTTCTGTTTAGTTTTTATGAGAAGATATTCCCGTGTCCTACGAAAGCCTCAAAGCTAACAAAATATCCACTTGCAGATACTACAAAAGCAGGGTTGCAATACTGCTGTATCAAAAGAAAGGTTCAACTCCGTGAGTTGAGTACACACATCACAAAGAAGTTTCTGAGAATGCTTCTGTCTAGTTTTTACATGAAGATATTTCCTTTTTTACCATAGGCCCAAAAGCGCACCAAGTGTCCCCTTCCAGACACCACAAAAAGAGTGTTTCAGAACTGCTCTATTAAAGGGCATGTTCAACTCTGCGAGTTGAATTGAAACATCACAAAGGAGTTTCGGAGAATGTTTCTGTCCAGTTTTTATGTGACGACATTCCCGCTTCCAACGAAATCCTCAAAGCTATCCAAATATCCACATGCAGACTCTACAAAAAGAGTGTTTCGAAACTGCTCTATCCAAAGAAATGTTCAAATCTGTGAGGTAAGTACACACATCACAGAGAAGTTTCTGAGAATTCTTCTGTCTAGTTTTAATGGGAAGATATTTCCTTTTTCACCATAGGTCTGAAAGCTCTCCAACTTTCCACTTACAGATTCTACAATAAGAGCGTTTCAAAACTGCTCAAGACACATGCACACGTATGTTTATTGCGGCACTATTCACAATAGCAAAGACTTGGAACCAACCCAAATGTCCAACAATGATAGACTGGATTAAGAAAATGTGGCACATATACACCATGGAATACTATGCAGCCATAAAAAATGATGAGTTCATATCCTTTGTAGGGACATGGATGAAATTGGAAACCATCATTCTCAGTAAACTATCGCAAGAACAAAAAACCAAACACCGCATATTCTCACTCATAGGTGGGAACTGAACAATGAGATCACATGGACACAGGAAGGGGAATATCACACTCTGGGGACTGTGGTGGGGTCGGGGGAGGGGGGAGGGATAGCATTGGGAGATATACCTAATGCTAGATGACACATTAGTGGGTGCAGCGCACCAGCATGGCACATGTATACATATGTAACTAACCTGCACAATATGCACATGTACCCTAAAACTTAGAGTATAAAAAAAAAAAAAAAAAAGGAATGTTCAAACCTTTGAGTTGAATGCAAGCATCACAAAGAAGTTCCTGAGAAAGCTTCTACCTAGTTTTTACGTGAAGATATTTCCTTTTTCAGCATAGGCCCAAAGTGCACAAAGTGTCCCCTTCCAGATACTACAAAAAGAGTGTTTCAGAACTGCTCTATGAAAGGGCATGTGCACCTCTGTGAGTTGAATCGAAACATCAAAAAGAAGTTTCAGAGTATGCTTCTATATAGTTTATATGTGAAGATATTCCGGTTTCCAACGAAAGCCTCAAAGGTATACAAATATCCACTTGCAGGATCTACAAAAAGAATGTTTCAAAACTGCTGTATGAAAAGAAATGTTCAACTCTGTTAGCTGAGAACACACATCACAAAGTAGTTTCTGAGAATGCTTCTGTCTAGTTTTGATGTGAAGATATATCCTTTTTCACCTTAGGCCTCAAAGTGCTCCAAATGTCCACTTCCAGATACTATAAAAAGAGTGTTTCAAAACTGCTCTATGATAGGGAATGTTCCACTCTGTGAGTTGAATGCAAACATGACAACGATGTTTCTGAGAATGCTTCTGTCAAGTTTTTATGTGAAGATATTTCCGTTTTCAAAGAAATCCTCAAAGCTATCCAAATATCCACTTGCAGACTCTAAAAAAAGAGTGTTTCAAAACTGCTCTATCAAAGGAAAAGTTCAATTATGTGAGTGGAGTACACACATCACAAAGCAGTTTCTGTGAATTCTTCTCTCTCCTTTTTCAGGGAAGATATTTCTTTTTCACCATAGACCTCAAAGCTCTCCAAGTTTCCACTTACAGATTCTACAAAAAGAGTCTTTCAAAACTGCTGTATTAAAATGAATGTTCAAATCTGTGAGTTGAATGCAAGCATCACAAAAATTTCTGAGAATGCTTGTCTAGTTTTTATGTGAAGATATTTCCGTTTCCAATGAAAGCCTCATGGCTATCCAAATATCCACTGGCAGATTCTGCAAAAAGAGTGTTTCAAAACTGTTGTATCAAAAGAAATATTCAACTCTGTGAGTTGAGTACACACATCACAAAGTAGTTTCTGAGAATGCTTCTGCATAGTTCTTATGTGAAGACATTTCCTTTCTCACCAAAGGCATCAAAGAGCTCCAAATGTCCACTTCCAGATACTACAAAAAGAGTGTTTCAAAACTGCTCTATGATAGGGAATGTTCAACTCTGCCAGTTGAATGCAAACATCACAAAGATTTTTCTGAGAATGCTTCTGTCTAGTTTTTATGTGAAGATATTCCCGTTTCCAATGAAATCCTCAAAGCAATCCAAATATCCACTTGCAGACTCTACAAAAAGAGCGTTTCAAAACTGCTCTATCAAAGGAATGTTCAACTCCGTGAGTTGAATGCAAGCATCACAAAGAAGTTTCTGAGAAAGCTTCTGTCTAGTTTTTAGGTGAAGATATTCCCGTTTCCAACGAAAGCCTCAAAACTATCCAAATATCAACTTGCAGATTCTTCAAAAAGTGAGTTTCAAAACTGCTGTATGAAAAGAAATGTTCAACTCTGTGTGTTGAGTACACACATCACAAAGTAGTTTCTGAGAATGCTTCTGTCTAGTTTTTATGTGATGACATTTCCTTTTTCACCATAGGCATCAAAGCGCTCCAAATGTCCACTTCCAGATAGTAGAAAAACAGTGTTTCAAAACTGCACAATGAAGGGGAATGTTCAACTCTGTGAGTTGAAAGCAAACATGATAAAGAAGTTCTTGAGAATGCTTCTGTCTAGTTTTTATGTGAATATATTCCTGTTTCCAACGAAATCCTCACAGCTATCAAAATATCCACTTGCATACTCTACAAAAAAAGTGTTTCAAAACTGTTCTATCAAAAGAAAAGCTCAACTCTGTGAGTGGAGAACACACATCACAAAGAAGTTTCTGAGAATTCTTCTCTCTAGCTTTTATGGGAAGATACTTCCTTTTTCAGCACATGAATCAAAGCGCACCAAATTTCCACTTGCAGATTCTACAAAAAGAGTGTTTCACAACTGCTCTAAGGAAACGAATGTTCAACTCTGTGAGTTGAATGCAAGAATCTCAAAGAAGTTTCCATGAATGCTTCTGTCTAGTTTTTATGTGAAGATATTCCCGTTTCCAACAAAAGACTCAAAGCTATCCAAATATCTACTAGCAGATTCTACAAAAAGAGTGTTTCAAAACTGCTCTATCAAAAGAAAGGGTCAACTCTGTTAGTTGAGTACACCCATCAAAAACAAGTTTCTGAGAATGCTTCTGTCTAGTTTTTATGGGAAGAGATTTCCTTTTTCACCATAGGCCTCAAAGCACTCCAAATGTCCACTTCCAGATACTACAAAAAGAGTGTTTCAAAACTGCACTATGAAATAAAAAGTTCAATCAAATCTGTGAGTGGATTACACACATCAGAAAGAAGTTTCTGAGAATTTCTCTGTCTACTTTTTATGGGAAGATATTTCCTTTTTCACCATAGGTCTCAAAGCTCTCCAAGTTTCCACTTACAGATTCTACAAAAAGAGTGTTTCAAAACTGCTGCATCAAAGGAAAGGTTTAACTCTGTGAGTTGAGTACCCACATCACAAAGTAGTGTTTGAGAATACTTCTGTCTACTTTTTATGGGAAGATATTTCCTTTTTCAACATAGGTCTCAAATCGTTCCAAATGTCCACTTGCAGATTATCCAAAAAGAGTGTTTCAAAACTGCTCTATGAAACGGAATGTTGAACTCTGTGAGTTGAATGCGAGCATCAGAAAGAAGTTTCTGAGAAAGCTTCCATCTAGTTTTTGTGGGAAGATATTCCTGTTTCCAATGAAAGCCTCAAAACTATCCAAATATCCTCTTGCAGATTGTACAAAAGAGTGTTTCAAAACTGCTGTATCAAAAGAGAGGATCAACTCTGTAAGTTGAGTACACACATCAAAAAGAAGTTACTGAGAATGCGTCTGTCTAGTTTTTATGTGAAGATATTTCGTTCTTCACCATAGGTCTCAAAGGGCTCCAAATGTCCACTTCCAGATACTACAAAAAGCGTGTTTCAAAACTGCTCTATGAAAGGGAACGTGCAAATCTGTGATTTGAATGCAAACATCACAAAGAAGTTTCTGAGAATGCTTCTGTCTAGTTTTTATGTGAAGATATTCCCATTTCCAACGAAATCCTCAAAACTATCCAAATATCCACTTGCAGACTCTACAAGAAGAGTGTTTCAAACCTGACCTATCAAAAGAAAAGTTCAACTCTGAGTTGAGTACACACATCACAAAGAAGTTTCTGAGAATTCCTCTGTCTAGTTTTATGGGAAGATGTATTCTTTTTCACCATAAGCCTCAAAGCTCTCCAAGTTCCCACTTACAGATTCTTCAAAAAGATTGTTTCAAAACTGCTCTATTAAAAGGAATGATCAAATCAGTGAGTTGAATGCAAACATTGCCAAGTGGTTTCTGAGAATGCTTCTGTCTACTTTCTATGTGAAGATATACCCGTTTCCATCAAAATCCTCAAAGCTATCCAATTATCCACTTGCAGATTCTATAAAAAGAGTGTTTCAAAACTGCTGTATGAAAAGAAGGTTCAACTCTGTGAGTTGAGCACACACATCACAAAGTAGTTTCTCAGAATGCTTCTGTCTAGTTTTTATGTGACAATATTTCCTTTTTTACCATAAGCCACAAAGCGCTCCAAATGTCCACCTCTAAATACTACAAAAAGAGTTTTTCAAAACTGCACTTTGACAGGGATTGTTCAACTCTGTGAGTTGAATGAAAACATCACAAAGAAGTTTTTGAGAATGCTTCTGTCTAATTTTTATGCAAAGATATTCCCGTTTCCAACGAAATCCTCAAAGCTCTCTAAATATCCACTTGCAGACTCAACAAAAAGAGTGTTTCAAAACTGCTCTATCAATAGAAAAGTTCAACTCTGTGAGTTGAGTACACACATCACAAAGAAGTTTCTGAGAATTCTTCAGTCTAGTTTTTATGGGAAGATATTTCGTTTTTCACCGTAGGCATCAATGAGCTCCAAGTTTCCACTTACAGATTCTACAAAAAGAGTGTTTCAAAACTGCTCTATGAAAAGGAATATTCACCTCCGTGAGTTGAATGCAAGCATCATAAAGAAGTTTCTGAGAATGCCTCTGTCTAGTTTTTATGTGAAGATATTCCCGTTTGCAGCGAAAGCCTCAGAGCTATCCAAATATCCAATTGCAGATCCTACAAAAACAGTGTTTCAAACCTGCTGTATCAAAAGAAAGGTTCAAATCTGTGAGTTGAATGCAAACATCATGAAGAAGTTTCTGAGAATTCTTCTGTCTAATTTTTATGGGAAGATATTTCCTTTTTCACCAAAGGCCTCAAAGCGCTCCAAGTTTCCTCTTACAGATTCTACAAAAAGAGTGTTTCAAAACTGCTCTATAAAAAGGATTGTTCTACTCTGTGAGTTGAATGCAAGCATCACAAAGAAGTTTCAGAGAATGCTTCCGTCTAGTTTTTGTGTGAATATATACATTGTTCTAGCGAAGAACTCAAAGCTTTCAAAATATCCACTTGCAAATTATACAAAAAGAGGGTTTCCAATCTGCCCTATCAAAAGAAAGTTTCAACTCTGTGAGTTGAATGCACACATCACAAAGAAGTTTCTGAGAATGCTTCTGTCTAGTTTTATGTGTAGATATTCCCGTTTCCAACGAAATGCATAATGAAGTCCTAATATACACTTGTAAATTCTATACGAAGAGTGTTTCCAAACTGCTGTATGAAAAGAAAGAATCAACTCTGTAAGTTGAGTACACACATCACAAAGAAGTTTCTGAGAATGCTTCTGTCTAGTTTTTATGTGAAGATATTTCCTTTTTCACCATAGGTCTCAAAGGACTCCAAATGTCCAATTTCAAATATTACAAAAAGAGTGTTTCAAAACTGCTCTATGAAAGGGAATGTTCAACTCTATGAGTTGAATGCAAACATCTCAAAGAAGTTTCTGAAAATGCTTCTGTCTAGTTTTTATGTGAAGATATTCCCGTTTCCAATGAAATCCTCAAAGCTATCCAAATATCCACTTGCAGACTCTACAAAAAGAGTGTTTCAAAACTGCTCTATCAAAAGAAAAGTTCAACTCTGTAAGTGGAGTACACATATCACGAAGAAGTTTCTGAGAATTCTTCTGTCTAATTTTAAAGGGAACATATTTCCTTTTTCACCATAGGCCTCAAAGCGCTAAATGTTTCCACTTACAGATTCTTCAAAAAGAGTGTTTCAAAACTGCTCTTTGAGAAGGAATGTTCAACGCTGTGAGTTGAATGTTAGCATCACAAAGTAGTTTCTGAGAATGCTTCTGTCTAGTTTTTATGTGAAGATATTCCCGTTTCCAACAAAAGCTTCAAAGCTATCCAAATATCCACATGCAGATTCTACAAAAGAGTGTTTCAGAACTGCTGTATCAAAAGAAAGAATCAACTCTGTAAGTTGAGTACACACATCATAAAGAAGTTTCTGAGAATGCTTCTGTCTAGTTTTTATGTGAAGATATTTCCTTTTTCACCATAGGTCTCAAAGGGCTCCAAATGTCCAATTCCAGATACTACAAAAAGAGTGTTTCAAAATTGCTCTATGCAAGGGAATGTTCAAGTCTGTGAGTTGAATGCAAACATCACCAAGAAGTTTCTGAGAATGCATCTGTCTAGTTTTTAGGTGAAGATATTCCCGTTTCCAACGATATCCTCAAAGCTATCCAAATATCCACTTGCAGATTCTACAAAAAGAATTTTTCAAAACTGCTCTATCAAAAGAAAAGTTCAACTCTGAGTTGAGTGCACATATCACAAAGAAGTTTCTGAGAATTCTTGTGTGTAGTTTTATGGGAAGATATTTCCTTTTTCACCATAGGCCTCAAAGCTCTCCAAGTTTCCACTTACAGATTCTACAAAAAGAGTGTTTCAAAACTGTTCTATTAAAACAAATGATCAAATCTGTGAGTTGAATGTAAACATCACAAAGAAGTTTCTGAGAATGCTTCTGTCTAGTTTTTATGTGAAGATATTTCCATTTCCAAAGAAAACCTCAAAGGTATCCAAATATCCACTTGCAGATTCTACAAAAAGAGTGTTTGAAAACTGCTGTATCAAAAGAATGGTGCAACTCTGTGAGTTCAGTACAGACATCACAAAGTGGTTTCTGAGAATGCTTCTGTCTAGTTTTTATGTGAAGACATTTCCTTTTTCACCATTTGTCTCAAAGGGCATGAAATGTACACGTCCAGATACTATAAAAAGAATGTTTGAAAATTGCAGTATTAGCAAAAGAAACTACCATCAGAGTGAACAGGCAACCTGCAAAATGGGAGAAAATTTTTGCAACCTACTCATCTGACAAAGGGCTAATATCCATAATCTACAATGAACTCAAACAAATTTACAAGAAAAAAACAAACAACCCCATCAAAAAGTGGGCTAAGGACATGAACAGACACTTCTCAAAAGAAGACATTTATGCAGCCAAAAAACACATGAAAAAATGCTCATCATCACTGGCCATCAGAGAAATGTAAATCAAAACCACAATGAGATACCATCTCACACAAGTTAGAATGGCAATCATTAAAAAGTCAGGAAAAAACAGGTGCTGGAGAGGATGTGGAGGAATAGGAACACTTTTACACTGTTGGTGAGACTGTAAACTAGTTCAACCCTTGTGGAAGTCAGTGTGGTGATTCCTCAGGGATCTAGAACTAGAAATACCATTTGACCCAGCCATCCCATTACTGGGTATATACCCAAAGGAGTATAAATCATGCTGCTATAAAGACACATGCACACGTATGTCTATTGTGGCACTATTCACAATAGCAAAGACCTGGAACCAACCCAAATGTCCAACAATGATAGACTGGATTAAGAAAATGTGGCACATATACACCATGGAATACTATGCAGCCATAAAAAATGATGAGTTCATGTCATTTGTAGGGACATGGATGAAATTGGAAATCATCATTCTCAGTAAAGTATTGCAAGAACAAAAAACCAAACACCGCGTATTCTCACTCTTAGGTGGGAATTGAACAATGAGATCACATGGACACAGGAAGGGGAATATCACACTCTGGGGACTGTTGTGGGGTGGGGAGAGGGGGGAGGGATAGCATTGGGAGATATACCTAATGCTAGATGAGGAGTTAGTGGGTGCAGTGCACCAGCGTGGCAAATGTATACATATGTAACTAAACTTCACAATGTGCACATGTACCCTAAAACTTAAAGTATAATAATAAAAGAAAAAAAAAAGAAAAGTAAAAGAAAATATGTAACCTAAATATATTAATAAATTATGAAAATTTGAGATCCCATATATAAATGTACAAAATAAATCATTTCAAATCATAAAAAAATGAAGGTTTTGAGAATGCTTCCGTCTAGTTTTTATGGGAAGATATTTCCTTTTTCAACATTGGCCTCAAAGCGCACAAAATGTCCACTTCCAGATACTAGAGAAAGAGTATTTCAAAACTGCTCTATGAAAGGGAATGTTTAACTCCGTGAGTTGAATGCAAACATCCCAAAGTAGTTTCTGAGAGTGCTTCTGTCTACTTTATGTGAAGATATTCCAGTTTCCAACGAAATCCTCAAAGCTATCTAAATATCCACTTTCAGACTCTACAAAAAGAGAGTTTAAAAACTGCTCTATCAAAAGAAAAGTTCCACTCTGTGAGTGGTGAACACATATCACAAAGAAGTTTCTGAGAATTTTTCTCTCTGGTTTTAAGGGAACATATTTCCTTTTTCACCATAGGCCTCCAAGCGCTAAATATTTCCACTTACAGATTCTTCAAAAAGAGTTTCAAAACTGCTCTCTGAAAAGGAATGTTCAACTCTGTGAGTTGAATGCAAGCATCACAAAGTAGTTTCTGAGAATGCTTCTGTCTAGTTTTTATGTGAAGATAGTCCCGTTTCCAACGAAAGCCTCAAAGATATCCAAATATCCAGACGCAGATTATACAAAAGAGTGTTTCAAAACTGCTGTATCAAAAGAAAGGATCAACTCTGTAAGTTGAGTACACACATCACAAAGAAGTTTCTGAGAATGCTTCTGTCTAGTTTTTATGTGAAGATATTTCCTTTTTCACCATAGGTCTCAAAGGGCTCCAAATGTCCACTTCCAGATACCACAAAAAGAGTGTTTCAAAATTGTTCTTTGAAAGGGAATGTTCAATTCTGTGAGTTGAATGCAAACATCCTAAAGAAGTTTCTGAGAGTGCTTCTGTCTACTTTATGTGAAGATATTCCAGTTTCCAACGAAATCCTCAAAGCTATCTAAATATCCACTTTCAGACTCTACAAAAAGAGAGTCTAAAAACTGCTCTATCAAAAGAAAAGTTCCACTCTGTGGGTGGTGAACACATATCACAAAGAAGTTTCTGAGAATTTTTCTCTCTGGTTTTAAGGGAACATATTTCCTTTTTCACCATAGGCCTCCAAGCGCTAAATATTTCCACTTACAAATTCTTCAAAAAGAGTTTCAAAACTGCTCTCTGAAAAAGAATGTTCAACTCTGTGAGTTGAATGCAAGCATCACAAAGTAGTTTCTGAGAATGCTTCTGTCTAGTTTTTTATGTGAAGATAGTCCCGTTTCTAACGAAAGCCTCAAAGATATCCAAATATCCAGACGCAGATTATACAAAAGAGTGTTTCAAAACTGCTGTATCAAAAGAAAGGATCAACTCCGTAAGTTGAGTACACACATCACAAAGAAGTTTCTGAGAATGCTTCTGTCTAGTTTTTATGTGAAGATATTTCCTTTTTCACCATAGGTCTCAAAGGGCTCCAAATGTACACTTCCAGATACCACAAAAAGAGTGTTTCAAAATTGTTCTTTGAAAGGGAATGTTCAATTCTGTGAGTTGAATGCAAACATCACAAAGAAGTTTCTGAGAATGCTTCTGTTTAGTTTTCATGTGAAGATATTACCGTTTCCAGCCAAAGCCTCAAATCTATCCCAATATCCACTTGTAGACTCTATAAAAAGAGTGTTTCAAAACTGCTCTATCAAAAGAAAAGTTCAACTCTGAGTTGAGTGCACATATCACAAAGGAGTTTCTGAGAATTCTTCTGTCTAGATTTATGGGAAGATATTTCCTTTTTCACCATAGGCCTCAAAACTCTCCAAGTTTCCACTTACAGATTATACAAAAAGAGTTTTTCTAAACTGCTCTATTAAAAGGAATGATCAAATCTGTGAGTTGAATGCAAGCTTCGCAAAGACGTTTCTGAGAATGCTTCTGTCTAGTTTTTATGTGAAGACATTCCCTTTTCCAATGAAAGCTTCAAAGCTATCAAATATCCACTTGCATTTTCTACAAAAAGAGTGTTTCAAAACTGCTGTATAAAAAGAAAGGATCAATTTTGTGAGTTGAGTACACACATCACAAAGTAGTTTCTGAGAATGCTTCTGTCTAGTTTTTATGTGAAGATATTTCCTTTTTCAGCATTGGCCTCAAAGCGCACCAAATGTCCACTTCCAGATACTACAAAAAGAGTGCTTGAAAAGTGCTCTATGACAGGCAATGTTCAGCTCTGTGAGTTGAAGGCAAACATCACAAAGAATTTTCTGAGAATGCTTCTTTCTAGTTTTCATGTGAAGATATTCTCGATTCCAACGAAATCCTCAAAGCTATCCAAATATCCACTTGCAGACTCTCCAAAAAGAATGTTTCCAAACTGCTGTATCAAAAGAAAAATTCTGCTCTTTGAGTTGAGTACACACATCACAAAGAAGTTTCTGAGAATTCTTCTGTCTAGTTTTTATGGGAAGATGTTGCCTTTTTCACCATAGGTCTCAAAGCACTCCAAGTTTCCAGTTACAGATTCTACAAAAAGAGTGTTTCAAAACTGCTCTATGTAAATGAATTTTCAACTCTGTGAGTTGAATGCAAGCATCACCAAGAAGTTTCTGAGAATGCTTCTGTCTAGTTTTTATGTGAAGCTATTCAGGTTTCCAACGAAATCCTCAAAGCTATCCAAATATCCACTTGCAGATTCTACAAAAGAGTGTTTCAACAGTGCTGTATCAAAATAAAGGTTCAACTATATGAGTTGAGTACACACATCACAAAGAAGTTTCAGAAAATGATTCTGTCTAGTTTTTATGTGAAGACATTTCCTTTTTCACCATAGGCTTCAAAGCTCTCCAATATTCTATTTACAGATTCTACAAAAAGAGGATTTCAAAACTGCTCTATTAAAGGGAATGATCAAATCTGTGAGTTGATTGCAAGCATCGCAAAGAAGTTCCTGATAATGCTTCGGTGTAATTTATATGGGAGGATATTTCGTTTTTCACTGTAGGCCTCAAACTGCTCCAAGTTTCCACTTACAGATGCTACAAAAAGAGTATTTCAAAACTGCTCTATGAAAAGGAATGTTCAACTCTGTGAGTGGAATGCAAGCATCACAAAGAAGTTTCTGAGAACGCTTCTCTCTGGTTTTTATGGAAGATATTCCCCCTTCCAACGAAAGCCTCAAAGCTATCCAAATATCTGCTTGCAGATACTACAAAAAGAGTGTTTCAACACTGCCATATCAAAAGAAATGTTCAAATATGTGAGTTCAACGCAAACATCACAAAGAAGTTTCTGAGAATTCTTCTGTCTTGTTTTTATGGGAAGATATTTCCTTTTTCACCAAAGGCCTCAAGCACACCAAGTTTCCACTTACAGATCCTAGAAAAAGAGTGTTTCAAAACTGCTCTTTGAAATAGAATGTTCTACTCTGTGAGTTGAATGCAAGCATCACAAAGAAGTTTCTGAGAATGCTTCTGTCTATTTTTTTTGTGAATATGTACCCGTTTCCAGCGAAGACCTCAAAGCTTTCAAATATCCACTTGAAAATTCTAGAAAAAGAGGTTTCCAATCTGCCCTATCAAAAGAAAGTTTCAACTCCGTGAGTTGAATGCACACATCACAAAGAAGTTACTGAGAATGCTTCTGTCTAGTTTTATGTGAAGATATTCCCGTTTCCAAAGAAATCCACAATGCTGTCCTAATATCCACTTGTAAATTCTACAGGAAGAGTGTTTCAAACTGCTGCATCAAAGGAAGGGTTATACTCAGTTAGTTGAGTACACACATCACACAATAGTGTCAGAGAATGCTTCTCTCTACTTTTTATGTGAAGATATTTCCTTTTTCACCATAGGTCTCAAATCGCTCCAAATGTCCTCGTTCAGATTCTACCAAAAGTGTGTTTCAAAACTGCTCCATGAAAAGGAATGTTCAACACTGTGAGTTGAATGCAAACAACACAAAGAAGTTTCTGAGAATGCTTCTGTCTAGATTTTACGTGAAGATATTCCCTTTTCCAACGAAATCCTCAAATCTATCCAAATATCCACTTGCAGACTCTACAAAAATAATGTTTCAAAACTGCCCTATCAAAAGAAAAGTTCAACTCTGAGTTGAGTACAGACATCACAAAGAAGTTTCTGAGAATTCTTCTGTCTAGTTTTATGTGAAGATATTTCCTTTTTCACCACATGCCTCAAAGCTCTCCAAGTTTCCACTTACAGTCTACAAAAAGAGTGTTTCAAAACTGTTCTATTAAAAGGAATGTTCAAATCTGTGAGTTGAATGCAAGCATCGCAAAGAAGTTTCCGAGAATTCTTCTCTCTAATTTTTATGTGAAGATATTCCCGTTTCCAACGGAAGCCACAAAGCTATCTAAATATCCTCTTGCAGATTCTACAAAAAGAGTGTTTCAAAACTGCTGTATGAAAATAAAGGTTCAACTCTGTGGATTGAATACACCCATCAAAAAGTAGTTTCTGAGAATGCTTCTGTCTAGTTTTTACGTGAAGATATTTCCTTTTTCATCATAGGCCTCAAAGCGCTCCAAACGTCCTCTTCCAAATACTACAAAAAGAGTGTTTCAAAACTGTTCTATGACAGGGAATATTCAACTCTGTGAGTTGAATGCAAACATCACAAAGAAGTTTTTGAGAATGTTTCTATCTAGTGTTTATGTGAAGATATTCCCGTTTCCAAAGAAATCCTCAAAGCTATCCAAATATCCACTTGCAGACTCAAGAAAAAGATTCTTTCTAAACTGCTCTATCAAAAGAAATATTCAACTCAGTGAGTTGAGTACACACATCACAGAGAATTTTCTGAGAATTCTTCTGTCTGGTTTTTATGGGAACATGTTTCCTTTTTCACCATAGGCCTCAAAGGGCTAAAATTTTCCACTTACAGAATCTCCAAATAGAGTGTTTCAAAGCTGGTCTATGAAAAGGAATGTCCATCTCCGTGAATTGAATGCAAGCATTACAAAGAAATTTCTGAGAATGCTTCTGTCTAGTTTTAATGTGAAGATATTCCCGTTCCCAACGAAAGCCTCAAAGCTATCCAAATATCAACTTGCAGATTCTACATAAAGAGTGTTTCAAAACTGCTCTATCAAAAGAAATGTTCAAATCTGTAAGTTGAGTACACAAATCACAAAAACTTTCTGTGAATTCTTCTGTCTTGTTTTTATGGGAAGATATTTCCTTTTTCACAAAAGGCCTCATAGCGCTCCAAGTTTCCACTTACAGATTCTACAAAAAGAGTGTTTCAAAACTGTTCTATGAAAAGGAATATTCTACTCTGTCAGTTGAATGCAAGCATCTCAAAGAAGTTTCTGAGAATGCATCTGTCTAGTTTTTATGTGAAGATATTCTCCTTTCCAAAGAAATCCTTAAAGCTATCCAAATATCCACTAGCAGACTCTACAAAAACAGTGTTTCAAATCTGCTCTATCAAAAGAAAATTTCAACTCTCTGAGTAGAGTACACACATCACAAAGAAGTTTCTGAGAATTCTTCTGTCTAGTTTTTATGGGAACATATTTCCTTTTTCACCATAGGCCTCAAACGGCTCCAATTTTCCACTTATAGATTCTACAAAAAGAGTGTTTCAAAACTGCTGTATCAACGGAAAGGTTTAAATCTTTACGTTGAGTACACACATCACAAAGTAGTTTCTGAGAATTCTTCTGACTAATTTTTATGTGAAGATATTTTCTTTTTCACCATAGGTCTCCAATCGCTCAAAGTGTCCACTTGCAGATTTTACAAAAAGAGTGTTTCAAAACTGCTCTATGAGTAGGAATTTTCAACTCTGTGTGTTGAATGAAAACTTCACAAAGAAGTTTCTGAGAATGATTCTGTCTAGTTTTTATGTGAAGATATTCCCGTTTCCAACGAAAGCCTCAAAGCTATCGAAATATCCACTTTCAGATTCTACAAAAAGAGTGTTTCAAAACTGCTGTATCAAAACAAAGGTTCAAATCTGTGAGTTGAGAACACACATCACAAGTTTCTGAGAATGCTTCTGTCTAGTTTTTATGTGAAGATATTTCCTTTTTCACCATAGGCCTCAAAGCGCTCCAAATGTCCACTTCCAGATAATACAAAAAGAATGTTTCAAAACTGCTCTATCAAAGGAAAAGTTCAACTCTGTGAGTGTAGTACACACATCAGAAAGAAGTTTCTGGGAATTTCTCTGTCTACTTTTTATGGGAAGATATTTCCTTTTTCACCATAGGTCTCAAAGCGCTCCAAGTTTCCCCTTACAGATTCTACAAAAAGAGTGTTTCAAAACTGCTCTTAAAAGGAATATTCAAATATGTGAGTTGAATGCAAGCATCACAAAGAAATTTCTGAGAATACTTCTGTCTAGATTTTATGTGAAGATAACACGATTTCCAACGAAAGGCTCGAAGATATCCAAATATCCATTTACAGATTCTACAAAAAGAATGTTTCAAAACTGCTGTATCAAAAGAAATGTTCAACTCTGTGAGTTGAGTACACACAGCACAAAGTAGTTTCTGAGAATTCTTCTGTCTAGTTTTTATGTGAAGATATTTCCTTTTTCACCATTGGTCTCAAAGTGCTGCAAAGGTCCACTTCCAGATACTACAAAAAGAGTGTGTCAAAACTGCTCTATGATAGGGAATGTTCAACTCTGTGAGTTGAATGCAAACATAAAGAAGAAGTTTCAGAGGATGCTTCTGTCTCGTTATTATGTGAAGATATTCCCGTTTCCAATGAATTCCTCAAAGCTATCCAAATATCCACTTGCAGACTCTACAAAAAGAGTGTTTCAAACCTACTGCATCAAAGGAAAAGTTCAACTCTGTGAGTGAAGTACACATATCACAGAGAAATTTCTGAGAATTCTACTATCTAGTTTTTATGGGAAGATATTTCCTTTTTCACCATTGGCCTCAAAGCGCCCCAGGTTTCCACTTACAGATACTTCAAAAAGAGATTTTCAAAACTGCTCTATGAAATGGAATGTTCAACTCTGTGAGCTGAGTGCAAGCATCACAACGAAGATTCTGAGAATGCTTCTGTCTAGTTTTTATGTGAAGATATTCCTGTTTCCAATGAAAGAGTCAAAGCTATCCAAATATCCACTTGCAGATTCTACAAAAAAAGTATTTCAAAACTGCTGTATCAAAACAAAGGTTCAAATCTGTGAGTTGAGTACACACATCACAAAGGTGTTTCTGAGAATGTTTCTGTCTAATGTTTATGTGAAGATATTTCCTTTTTCACCATAGGCCTCAAAACGCTCCAAATGTTCACTTCCAGATACTACAAAGAGAGTGTTTCAAACCTGCTCTAAGAAAGAGAATGTTCAACTCTGTGACTTGAATGCAAGCATCACAAAGAAGTTTCTGAGAATTCTTCTGTCTAGTTTTTATGGGAAGTTATTTCCTTTTTCACCATAGGCCTCAAAGTGCTCCAAGTTTCCACTTACAGATTCTACAAAAAGAGTGTTTCAAAACTGCTCTATGAAAAGGAATGTTCCACTCTGTGAGTTGAATGCAAGCATCACAAAGTAGTTTCTGAGAATGGTTCTATCTAGTTTTTTAGTGAATATATACCCGTTTCCAGCGAAGGCCTCAAAGCTGTCCAAATATCCACTTCCAAATTCTTCAGAGGTTTTCCAGTCTGCTCTGTTGAAAGAAAGTTTCAGCTTTGTGAGTTGAATGCAGACATCTCCAGGAAGTTTCTCAGAATGCTTCTGTATAGTTTTATGTGAAGTTATTCCCGTTTCTTACGAAATACTCAATGCTGTCCAACTATCCGCTTCTAAATTATACAAGAAGAGTGTTTCA
This sequence comes from Homo sapiens, assembly GCF_000001405.40. Taxonomy (NCBI): domain Eukaryota; kingdom Metazoa; phylum Chordata; class Mammalia; order Primates; family Hominidae; genus Homo; species Homo sapiens. The sequence goes on along the minus strand of NC_000016.10, from coordinate 34,226,203 downwards.
AAACTGCTGTATCAAAAGAAAGGTTTAACTCTGTGAGTTGAGTACACACATCACAAAGTAGTTTCTGAGAATGCTTCTGTCTACTTTTTATTTGAAGATATTTCCTTTTTCACCATAGGTCTCAAATCTCTCCAAATGTCCACTTGCAGATTCTATAAAAAGAGTTTTTCAAAACTGCTGTATGAATAGGAATGTGCAACTCTGTGTGTTGAATGAAAACATCACAAAGAAGTTTCTGAGAATGCTTCTGTCTAGTTTTTATGTGAAGATAATCCCATTTCCAACAAAAGCGTCAAAGCTCTCCAAATATCCACTTGCAGATTCTACAAAAAGAGTGTTTCAAAACTGCTGTATCAAAACAAAGGTTCAAATCTGTGAGTTGAGTACACTCATCACAAAGGTGTTTCTGAGAATGCTTCTGTCTAGTTTTTATGTGAAGAGATTTCCTTTTTCACCATAGGCCTCAAAACGCTCCAAATGTTCACTTCCAGATACTACAAAGAGAGTGTTTCAAACCTGCTCTAAGAAAGGTAACGTTCAACTCTGTGAGTTGAATGCAAGCATCACAAAGAAGTATCTGAGAATTCTTCTGTCTAGTTTTTATGGGAAGGTATATCCTTTTTCACCATAGGCCTCAAAGCACTCCAAGTTTCCACTTACAGATTCTACAAAAAGAGTGTTTCAAAACTGCTCTATTAAAAGGAGTGTTCAAATCTGTGAGTTGAATACATGCATCACAAAGAAGTTAATGAGAATGCTTCTGTCTAGTTTTTATGTGAAGATATTTCCTTTTTCACCATAGGCCTCAAAGCGCTGCAAATGTCCACTTCCAGATACTACAAAAAGAGTGTTTCAAAACTGTCCAAGAAAGGGAATGTTCACCTCCATGAGGTGAAAGCAGACATCATAAAGAAGTTCCTGATAATGCTTCAGTCTAGTTTTTATGGGAAATTATTGCCATTTCCAACGAAGTCCCCAAAGCTATCCAAATTTCCACTTGCAGGCTCTACAAAAGGCGTGTTTTAAAACTGCTCTATCAAAAGAAAACGTCAACTCTATGAGTTGAGAACACACATCACTAAGAAGTTTCTGAGAATTCTTCTCTCTAGTTTTTATGGGAAGATATTTCCTTTTTCACCAAAGGCCTCAAAGCGCTCCAAGTTTCCACTTACAGATTTTTCAAAAAGAGTGTTTCAAAACTGCTCTCTGAATAGGAATGTTCTACTCTGTGAGTTGAATGCTAGCATCACAAAGAAGTTTCTGAGAATGCTTCTCTGTAGTTTTTTTTGTGAATATATGCGCGTTTCCAGCGAAAGCCTCAAAGCTGTCGAATACCCACTTGCAAATTCTACAAATAGAAGGTTTCCAATCTGCTCTATCAAAAGAGAGTTTCAACTCTCTGAGTTGAATGTACACATCACAAAGATGTTTCTGAGAATGCTTCTGTATTATTTTATGTGAAGATATTCCCGTTTCCAACGAAATCCTCAATGCTGACATAATATCCACTTGTAAATTCTACAAGAAGAGTGTTTCAAAACTGCTGCATCAAAGGAAAGGTTTAACTCTGTGAGTTGAGTACACATATCCCAAAGTAGTTTCTGAGAGTGCTTCTGTCTACTTTTTTATGAAGATATTTCCATTTTCACCATAGATCTCAAATCGCTCCAAGTGTACACTTGCAGATCTTACAAAAAGAGATTTTCAAAACTGCTCTATGAAAAGGAATATTCAACTCTGTGAGCTGAATGAAAACATCACAAAGAAGTTTCTGAGAATGCTTCTGTCTAGTTTTTATGTGAGGATATTACCGTTTCCTACATAAGCCTCAAGGCTATCCAAATATTCACTTGCGGATTTTACAAGAGTGTTTCAAAATTGCTGTATCAAAAGAAAGGATCAACTCTTTGAGTTGAGGACACACATCACAAAGAAGTTTCTGGGAATGCTTCTGTCTAGTTTTTATGTGAAGATATTTCCTTTTTCTCCATAGGTCTCAAAGGGTTCCAAGTGTCAACTTCCAGATAATACAAAAAGACTGTTTCAAAACTGCTCTATGAAAGGGAATGTTCAAATCTGTGAGTTCAATGAAAACATCATAAAGAGGATTCTGAGTATGCTTCTGTCTAGTTTTTATGTGAGGATATTCCTGTTTCCAACGAAATCCTCAAATCTATCCAAATATCCCATTGCAGACTCTACAAAAAGAGTATTTCAAAACTGCTGTGTCAAAAGAAAGGATCAACTCTGTGAGTTGAGTACACACATCTCAAAGAAGCTTCTGAGAATGCTTCTGTCTACTTTTTATGTGACGATATTTCCTTTTACACCATAGGCGCCAAAGGGCTCCAAATGTTCTCTTCCATATACTATAAAAGGAGTTTTTCAAAACTGCTCTATGAAAGGGAATGTTCAACTGTGTGAGTTGAATGCAAACATCACAAAGAGGTTTCTGAGAATGTTTCTGTGTAGTATTTATGTGAAGATATTGCCATTTCCAATGAAATCCTCAAACTATCCAAATATCCAGTTGCTGACTCTACAAAAAGAGTGTTTTAAAACTGCTCTGTTAAAAAAAAAGTTCAACTCTGTGAGTTGAGTATACACATCTCAAAGAAGATTCTGAGAATTCTTCTGTCAAGTTTGTATGGTAAGATATTTATTTTTTCACCATAGGCCTCAAAGCTCTCCAATTTTCCTATTAGAGATTCTACAAAAAGAGTGTTTCAAAACTGCTCCATGGAAAGGAGTCTTCAAAGCTGTGAGTTGAATGCAAGAACCAAAAAGAAGTTTCTGAGAATGCTTCTGTCTAGTATTTTTGTGAAGATATTCCCGTTTCCAACTTAACCTCAAAGCTCTCAAAATATCCACCAGCAGATTCCACAAAAGAGTTTCAAAACTGCTGTAACAAAAGAAAGGATCAACTCTGTGAGTTGAGTACACAAATCACAAAGAAGTTTCTGAGAATTCTTCTGTCTGGATTTATGGGAAGATATTTCCTTTTTCACCATAGGTCTCAAAATTCTCCAAGTTTCCACTTACAGATACTATAAAAAGAGTGTTTCAAAGCTGCTCTATTAAAAGGAATGTTCATCTCTGTGAGTTGAATGCAAGCATCACAAAGAAGTTTCTGAGAATGCTTCTGCCTAGTTTTTATGTGAAGATATTTCCTTTTTCAGCATAGGCCCGAAAGCGCAACAATTGTCCCCTTCCAGATACTACAAAAAGAGTGTTTCAGAACTGCTCTATGAAAGGGCATGTTCAACTATGTGAGTTGAAAGCAAACAACATAAAGAAGTTCCTGAGAATGCTTCTGCCTAGTTTTTATGTGAAGATATTCCTGTTTCCAAAGAAATCCTCAAAGCTATCCAAATATCCACCTGCAGACTCTACAAAAAGAGTGTTTCAAAACTGCTCTATCAAAAGAAAAGCTCAATTCTGTGAGTTGAGAACACACTTCACAAAGAAGTTTCTGAGAATGCTTCTGTCCAGTTTTTATGGGAAGATATTTCCTTTTTCACCATAGGTCTCAAAGCTCTCCAAGTTTCCATTTACAGATTCTAAAAAAGAGTGTTTCAAAGCTGCTCTATTAAAAGAAATGTTCAAATCTGTGAGTTGAATGCAAGCATCCCAAAGAAGTTTCTGAGAATGCTTCCATCTAGCTTTTATGTGAAGATATTCCCATTTCTAATGAAAGCCTCAAGGCTATCCAAATATCCAGTTGAAAATTCTACAAAAATAATGTTTCAAAACTGCTGTATCAAGAGAAATGTTCAACTCTGTGAGTTGAGTACACACATCACAAAGTAGTTTCTGAGAATGCTTCTGTCTAGTTTTTATGGGAAGATATTTCCTTTTTCACCATAGGTCTCAAAGCTCTCCAAGTTTCCACTTACAGATTCTATAAAAGAGTGTTTCAAAGCTGCTCTACTAAAAGGAATGTTGAAATCTGAGAGGTGAATGCAAGCATCACAAAGAAGTTTCTGAGAATGCTTCTGTCTAGTTTTTATGTAAGATATTCCCGTTTCCAACGAAAGTCTCAAAGCTAACAAAATATCCACTTGCAGATACTACAAAAAGAGTGTTCCAAAACTACTGCATCAATGAAAGGTTCAACTCCGTCAGTTGAGTACACACATCACAAAGAAGTTTCTGAGAATGCTTCTGCCTAGTTATTACGTGAAGATATTTCGTTTTTCACCGTAGGCCCAAAATCGCACTAATTGTCCCCTTCCAGATACTACAAAAAGAGTGTTTTAGAACTGCTCTATATAAGGGCATGTTCAACTCTGTGAATTGAATCAAAACATCACAAAGAAGTTTCAGAGAATGCTTCTGTCTAGTTTTTATGTGAAGATATTCCCGTTTCCAACGAAAGCCTCAAAGTCATCCAAATATCAACTTGCAGATTCTACAAAAAGAGAGTTTCAAAACCGCTGTATCAAAAGAAATGTTCAACCCTGAGAGTTGAGTACACACATCACAATGAAGTTCCTGAGAATGCTTCTGTCTAGTTTTTATGTGAAGATAATTCCTTTTTCACCATAAGCCTCAAAACGCTCCAAATGTCCACATCCAGATAGTAGAAAAAGAGTGTTTCAAAACTGCCCTATGAAATGGAATGTTCAACTCCTTGACGTGAAAGCAAACATCATAAAGAAGTTCCTGAGAATGCTTCTGTCTGGTTTTTTTGTGAAGGTATTCTCGTTTCCAACGAAATCCTCAAAGCTACACAAATATCCACTTGCAGACTCTACAAAAAGTGTTTCAAAACTGCTCTATCAAAAGAAAAGCTCAACTCTGTGAGATGAGAACACACATGACAAAGAAGTTTGTGAGAATTCTTCTCTCTAGTATTTATGGGAAGATATTTCCTTTTTCACCATAGTTCTAAAATCTCTCCAAGTTTCCACTTACAGATTCTACAAAAAGTGAGTTTCAGAGGTGCTCTATTAAAAGGAATGTTCAAATCTGTGATTTCAATGCAGGCATCACAAAGAAGTTTCTGAGAATGCTTCTGTCTAGTTTTTATGTGAAGATATTCCCGTTTCCAACGAAAGCCTCAATGCTATCCAAATATCCACTTGCAGATTCTACAAAAAGAGTGTCTCAAAACTGCTCTATCAAAAGAAAGGTTCAACAGTGTGACTTGAGTACACACATCAAAAAGTAGTTTCTGAGAATGCTTCTGTCTAGTTTTTATGTGAAGATATTTCCTTTTTCACCATAGGCCTCAAAGCACTCCAAATGTCCACTTCCAGATACTACAAAAAGAGTGTTTCAAAACTGTTCTATGATAGAGAATGTTCAACTCTGTGATTTGAAGGCAAACATCACGTAGAAGTTTCTGAGAATGCTTCTGTCTAGTTTTTATGTGAAGATATTCCCGTTTCCAACGAAATCCTCAAAGCTATCCAAATATCCACTAGCAGACTCTGCAAAAAGTGTGTTTCAAAACTGCTCATCAAAGGAAAAGTTCAACTCTGTTAGTGGGTACGCACATCACAAAGAAGTTTCTGAGAATTCTTCTGTCTAATTTTTACGGGAAGACATTTCTTTTTCACCATAGGCCTCAAAACTCTAAATTTTCCACTTACAGATTCTTCAAAAAGAGTGTTTCAAAACTGCTCTGTGAAAAGGACTGTTGAACTCTATTTGTTGAATGGAAGCATCACAAAGAAGTCTCTGAGAATGCTTCTGTCTAGTTTTTATGTGAAGATATTCCCGTTTCCAATGAAAGCCTCAAAACTATACAAATATCAACTTGCAGATTCTACAAAAAGAGAGTTTCGAAACCGCTGTATGAAAAGAAATGTTCAACTCTGTGAGTTGAGTAAACACATCAGAAAGAAGTTTCTGAGAATGCTTCTGTCTAGTTTTTATGTGAAGATATTTACTTTTTCACCATAGGCCTCAAAGCGCTCCAAATGTCCACTTCCAGATAGTTCAGAAAGAGTGTTTCAAAACTGCCCTATGAAAGGGAATGTTCAGCTCTGTGAGTTGAAAGCAAACATCATAAAGAAGGTCCTGAGATTGCTTCTGTCTAGTTTTTATGTGAAGATATTCCCGTTTCCAACGAAATCCTGAAAGCTATTCAAATAGCCACTTGCAGACTCTACAAAAAGAGTGTTTCAAAACTGCTCTATCAAAGGAGAAGTTCAACTCTGTGAGTGGAGTACACACTTCACAAAGAAGTTTCTGAGAATTCTTCTGTCTAGTTCTTATGGGAAGATATTTCTTTTTCACCATAGACCTCAAAGTGATAAAATTTCCACTTACAGTTGCTTCAAAAACAGTGTTTCAAAACTGCTCTATGAAAACGAATGTTCAACTCTGTGAATTGAATGCAAGCATCACAAAGAAGTTTCTGAGAATGCTTCTGTCTAGTTTTTATGTGAAGATATTCCCGTTTCCAACGAAAGCCTCAAAGCTATCCAAATATCAACTTGCAGATTCTACAAAAAGAGAGTTTCAAAACTGCTGTATCAAAAGAAATGTTCAACTCTGTGAGTTAAGTACACACATCACAAAGAAGTTTCTGAGAATGCTTCTGTCTAGTTTTTATGTGAAGATATTCCCTTTTTCACCATAGGCCTCAATGCGCTCCAAATGTCCACTTCGGGATAGTAGAAAAAGAGTGTTTCAAAACTGCCCTATGAAACGGAATATACAACCCTGTGTGTTGAAAGTAAACATCATAAAGAAGTTCCTGAGAATGTTTCTATCTAGTTTTTATGTGAAGATATTCCCGTTTCCAACGAAATCCTCAAAGCTATACAAATATCCACTTGCAGACTCTACAAAAAGAGTGTTTCAAAACTGCCCTATCAAAAGAAAAGCTCAACTCTGTGAGTTGAGAACACACATCACAAAGAAGTTTCTGAGAATTCTTCTATCTAGTTTTTATGGGGAGATATATCCTTTTTCACCACAGGCTTCAAAGCGCTCCAATTTTCCACTTACAGATTCAACAAAAAGAGTGTTTCAAAACAGCTCTATGGAAAGGAATGTTCAACTCTGTGAGTTGAATGCAAGCATCTCAAAGAAGTTTCTGAGAATGGTTCTGTCTAGTTTTTATGTGAAGATATTCCCGTTTCCAACGAAATCCTCAAAGCTATCCAAATATCCACTTACAGATTCCACAAAAAGAGTGTTTCAAAACTGCTGTATCAAAAGAAAGGTTGAACACTGTGAGTTGAGTACACATATCATAAATTAGTTTCTGAGAATGCTTCTGTCTAGTTTTCATGTGAAGATATTTCCTTTTTCACAGTAGGCCTCAAAGCACACCAACTGTCCACTTCCAGATACTACAAAAAGTGTGTCTCGGGGGGAAGGAGCCAAGATGGCCAAATAGGAACAGCTCCGGTCTACAGCTCCCAGCATGAGAGACGCAGAGGACGGGTGATTTCTGCATTTCCATCTGAGGTACCAGGTTCATCTCACTAGGGAGTGCCAGACAGTGGGTGCAGGTCAGTGGGTGCACGCACCTTGCACGAGCCAAAGCAGGGTAAGGCATTGACTCACTTGGGAAGCACAAGGGGTCAGGGAGTTCCCTTTCCGAGTCAAAGAAAGGGGTGATGGACGCACCTGGAAATTCGGGTCACTCCAACCTGAATATTGCGCTTTTCGGACCGGCTTAAAAAATGGCGCACCATGAGATTATATGCTGTACCTGGCTCGGAGGGCCCTACATACATGGAGTCTCACTGATTGCTAGCACAGCAGTCTGCGATCAAACTGCAAGGCGGCAGCGAGGCTGGGGGAGGGGCGCCCGCCATTGCCCAGCCTTGCTTAGGTAAACAAAGCAGCCTGGAAGCTCGAAATGGGTGGAGCCCACCACAGCTCAAGGAGTCCTGCCTCCCTCTGTAGGCTCCACCTCTGGGGGCAGGGCACAGACAAACAAAAAGACAGCAGTAACCTCTGCAGACTTAAATGTCCCTGTCTGACAGATTTGAAGAGAGCAGTGGTTCCCCCAGCATGCAGCTGGAGATCTGAGAATGGGCAGACTGCCTCCTCAAGTGGGTCCCTGACCCCTGACCCCCGAGCAACCTAACTGGGAGACACCCCCCAGCAGGGGCACACTGACACCTCACATGGCAGAGTATTCCAACAGACCTGCAGCTGAGGGTCCTGTCTGTTAGAAGGAAAACTAACAAACAGAAAGGTCATCCACACCAAAAACCTATCTGTACATCACCATCATCAAAGACCAAAAGTAGATGAAACCACAAAGATGGGGAAAAAACAGAATAGAAAAACAGGAAACTCTAAAACGCAGAGTGCCTCTCCTCCTCCAAAGGAACGCAGTTCCTCACCAGCAATGGAATGAAGCTTGATGGAGAATGACTTTGACGAGCTGAGAGAAGAAGGCTTCAGATGATCAAATTACTCTGAGCTACAGGAGGACATTCAAACCAAAGGCAAAGAAGTCGAAAACTTTGAGAAATATTTAGAAGAATGTGTAACTAGAATAACCAACACAGAGAAGTGCTTAAAGGAGCTGATGGAGCTGAAAACCAAGGCTCGAGAACTATGTGAAGAATGCAGAAGCCTCAGGAGCCGATGTGATCAACTGGAAGAAAGGGTATCAGCAATGGAAGATGAAATGAATGAAATGAAGCGAGATGGGAAGTTTAGAGAAAAAAGAATAAAAAGAAATGAGCAAAGCCTCCAAGAAATATGGGACTATGTGAAAAGACCAAATCTACGTCTGATTGGTGTACCTGAAAGTGATGGGGAGAATGGAACCAAGTTGGAAAACACTCTGCAGGATATTATCCAGGAGAACTTCCCCAATCTAGCAAGGTAGGCCAACGTTCAGATTCAGGAAATACAGAGAATGCCACAAAGATACTCCTCAAGAAGAGCAACTCCAAGACACATAATTGTCAGATTCACCAAAGTTGAAATGAAGGAAAAAATGTTAAGGGCAGCCAGAGAGAAAGGTTGGGTTACCCTCAAAGGGAAGCCCATCAGACTAACAGCGGATCTCTTGGCAGAAACCAAACAAGCCAGAAGAGAGTGGGGGCCAATATTCAACATTCTTAAAGAAAAGAATTTTCAACCCAGAATTTCATATCCAGCCAAACTAAGCTTCATAAGTGAAGGAGAAATAAAATACTTTACAGACAAGCAAATGCTGAAAGATTTTGTCACCACCAGGCCTACCCTAAAAGAGCTCCTGAAGGAAGCACTAAACATGGAAAGGAAAAACCGGTACCAGCCACTGCAAAATCATGCCAAAATGTAAAGACCATCGAGACTAGGAAGAAACTGCATCAACTAACGAGCAAAATCACCAGCTAACATCATAATGACAGGATCAAATTCACACATAACAATATTATGTGTGTTTGCTTTCAATGTAAATGGACTAAATGCTCCAATTAAAAGACACAGACTGGCAAATTGGATAAAGAGTCAAGACCCATCAGTGTGCTGTATTCAGGAAACCCATCTCATGGGCAGAGACACACATAGGCTCAAAATAAAAGGATGGAGGAAGATCTACCAAGAAATGGAAAACAAAAAAAGGCAGGGGTTGCAATCCTAGTCTCTGATAAAACAGACTTTCAACCAACAAAGATCAAAAGAGACAAAGAAGGCCATTACATAATGGTAAAGGGATCAATTCAACAAGAAGAGCTAACTATCCTAAATATATATGCACCCAATACAGGAGCACACAGATTCATAAAGCAAGTCCTGAGTGACCTACAAAGAGACTTAGACTCCCACACATTAATAATGGTAGACTTTAACACCCCACTGTCAACATTAGACAGATCAAGGAGACAGAAAGTCAACAAGGATACCCAGGAATTGAACTCAGCTCTGCACCAAGCGGACCTAATAGACATCTACAGAACTCTCCACCCCAAATCAACAGAATATACATTTTTTTTCAGCACCACACCACACTTATTCCAAAATTGACCACATACTTGGAAATAAAGCTCTCCTCAGCAAATGTAAAAGAACAGAAATTATAACAAACTATCTCTCAGACCACAGTGCAATCAAACTAGAACTCAGGATTAAGAATCTCACTCAAAACCGCTCAACTACATGGAAACTGAACAACCTGCTCCTGAATGACTACTGGGTACATAACAAAATGAAGGCAGAAATAAAGATGTTCTTTGAAACCAATGAGAACAAAGACACAACATACCAGAATCTCTGGGACGCATTCAAAGCAGTGTGTAGAGGGAAATTTATAGCACTAAATGCCCACAAGAGAAAGCAGGAAAGATCCAAAATTGACACTCTAACATCACAATTAAAAGAACTAGAAAAGCAAGAGCAAACACATTCAAAAGCTAGCAGAAGGCAAGAAATAACTAAAATCAGAGCAGAACTGAAGGAAATAGAGACACAAAAAACCCTTCAAAAAATTAATGAATCCAGGAGCTGGTTTTTTGAAAGGATCAACAAAATTGATAGACCGCTAGCAAGACTAACAAAGAAAAAAAGAGAGAAGAATCAAATAGACACAATAAAAATGATAAAGGGGATATCACCACTGATCCCACAGAAATACAAACTACCATCAGAGAATACTACAAACAGCTCTATGCAAATAAACTGGAAAATCTAGAAGAAATGGATAAATTCCTGGACACATACACTCTCCCAAGACTAAACCAGGAAGAAGTTGAATCTCTGAATAGACCAATAACAGGATCTGAAATTGTGGCAATAATCAATAGTTTACCAACCAAAAAGAGTCCAGGACCAGATGGATTCACAGCAGAATTCTACCAGAGGTACAAGGAGGAATGGTACCATTCCTTCTGAAACTATTCCAATCAATAGAAAAGAGGGAATCCCCCCTAACTCATTTTATGAGACCAGCATCATTCTGATACCAAAGCCAGGCAGAGACAAAACAAAAAAAGAGAATTTTAGACCAATATCCTTGATGAACATTGACGCAAAAATCCTCAATAAAATACTGGCAAAACGAATCCAGCAGCACATCAAAAAGCTTACCCACCATGATCAACTGGGCTTCATCCCTGGGATGCAAGGCTGGTTCAATATACAAAAATCAATAAATGTAATCCACCATATAAACAGAGCCAAAGACAAAAACCACATGATTATCTCAACAGACGCAGAAAAAGCCTTTGACAAAATTCAACAACCCTTCATGCTAAAAACTCTCAATAAATTAGGTATTGATGGGACGTATTTCAAAATAATAAGAGCTATCTATGACAAACCCACAGCCAATATCATACTGAATGGGCAAAAACTGGAAGCACTCCCTTTGAAAAGTGGCACAAGACAGGGATACCCTCTCTCCCCACTCCTATTCAACATAGTGTTGGAAGTTCTGGCCAAGGCAATTAGGCAGGAGAAGGAAATAAAGGGTATTCAATTAGGAAAAGAGGAAGTCAAATTGTCCCTGTTTGCAGACGACATGATTGTATATCTAGAAAATCCCATTATCTCAGCCCAAAATCTCCTTAAGCTGATAAGCAACTTCAGCAAAGTCTCAGGATACAAAATCAATGTACAAAAATCACAAGCATTCTTATACACAAACAACGGACAAACAGAGAGCCAAATTATGAGTGAACTCCCATTCACAATTGCTTCAAAGAGAATAAAATACCTAGGAATCCAACTTACAAGGGATGTGAAGGACCTCTTCAAGGAGAACTACAAACCACTGCTCAAGGAAATAAAAGAGGATACAAACAAATGGAAGAACATTCCATGGTCATGTGTAGGAAGAATCAATATCTTGAAAATGGCCATACTGCCCAAGGTAATTTACAGATTCAATGCCATCCCCATCAAGCTACCAATGCCTTTCTTCACAGAATTGGAAAAAACTACTTTAAAGTTCATATGGAAACAGAAAAGAAACACTCTCTTTTTAGAATCTGCAAGTGGATTTTTGGAGCACTTTGAGGCCTATGGTGGCAAAGGAAATATCTTTACATAGAAACTACACAGAAGCATTCTGAGAAACTTCTTTGTGAAGTGTGTATTCAACACGCTGAGTTCAACCTATCTTTTGATAGAGCAGTTTTGAAGCTGCCGTCTTTTAGAATCTGCAATTGGATATTTGGAGCTCTTTGTGTCAGATGATGGAAAAGGAAACATCTTCCCAAAGAAACTACACAGAAGCATTTCGAGAAGCTTCTTTGTGATGTGTGCTTTCATCTCACAGAGTTGAACCTTAATTTTGATTGAGCAGTTTGGAAACACTCTTTTTGTAGAATCTGCAAGTGGATATTTGCAGCACTTTGAGACCTGTGATGGAAAAGGAAATATATTCACATAAAAACTACACATAAGCATTCTGAGAAACTTCTTTGTGATGTTTGCATGCTACTCACACAGTTGAACCTATCTTTTGATAGAGCAGTTTTAAAACCCACTTTTTGTCGAATCTGCAAGTGGATATTTGGAGCCCTTTGCAGCCTATGGTGGAAAAGGAAATATCTTCACATAAAAGGTACACAGAAGCATTCTGAGAAACTACTTTGTGATGTGTGCATTCATCTCACAGGGTTGAACCTTCCATTTGATGGAGCAGTTTTGAAACACTCTTTTTGTAGAATCTGCAAGTGCATATTTGGAGTGCTTTGACGCCTATTGTGGAAAAGGAAATATCTTCACATAAAAACTACACAGAAGCATTCTCAGAAACTTCTTTGTGATGAGTGCATTCATTGCACGGAGTTGAACCTTTGTTTTGAATCAGCAGTTTGCATACTCTCTTTTTGTAGAATCCGCAAGTGGATATTTGAAGCCCTTTGTGGCCTATGTTGGAAAAGGAAATATCTTCCAATAAAAACTAGAAAGAAACATCCTGAGAAACTTCTTTGTGATGTGTGCATTCATCTCACAGAGTTGAAGCTTTCTTTTGATTAAGCCATCTTTAAACACTCTTTTTGTAAAATCTGCAAGTGCATATTTGGAGTGCTTTGAGGCTTATTGTGGAAAAGTAAATATCTTCATATAAAAACTACACAGACGCCTTCTGAGAGACTTCTTTGTGATGTGTGCATTCATCTCACTGAGTTGAACCGTTGCTTTGATTGAGCAGTTTGGAAACACTCTTTTTGTAGAATCCACAAGTGGATATTTGGGGCCCTTTGAGGCAGATGGCAGAAAAGGAAATATTTTCCCATAGAAACTACACAGAAACATTCGGAGAAACTTCTTTGCAATGGACGGTTTCATCTCACAGAGTTGAACCTTTCTTTTGATTGAGCAGTTTGGAAACAGTTTTTGCAGAATCTGCCAGAGTATATTTGGATCACTTTCAGGCCTATGGTGGAAAGCGAAATATCTTCACATAAAAACTACACAGAAGCCTTCTGAGAAACAAATTTGTGATGTGTGCATTCAACTCACAGAGTTGAACCTATCTTTTGATTGAGCAGTTTTGAAACTCTCTATTTGTAGAATCTGCAAGTGGATATTTGGAGCCCTTTTAGCCCTTTGGTGGAAAAGGAAATATGTTCACATAAAAACTACACAGAAGCAATCTGAGAAACTACTTTGTGATGTGTGCATTCAACTCACAGAGTTGAACTTATCTTTTCATAGAGCAGTTTTGAAACTCTCTATTTGTAGAATCTGCAAGTGGATATTTGCAGTCCTTTGCCTCCTATGGTGGAAAAGGAAATATCTTCCCATAAAAACTAAACAGAAGCATTCGGAGAAACTTCTTTGTGATATGTTCATTCATCTCACAGAGCTGAACCTTTCATTTGATTGAGCAGTTTTGAAACACAATTTTTGTAGAATCTGCAAGTGGATATATGGAGCTCTTTGAGGCCTATTGTGGAAAAGGAAATATCTCCACATAAAAACTACACAGAATCATTCTGAGAAACTCCTTTGTGATGTGTGCATTCATCTCACAGAGTTGAACATTTCTTTTGATTCACCAATTTTGAAACAATCCTTTCGTAGTATCTACAACTGGGTATTTGGAGCGCTTTGAGGCCTGCATGGAAAAGGAAATATCTTCACCTAAAAACTACAAAGAAGCATTCTGAGAAACTTCTTTGTGATGTGTGCATTCAACTCACAGAGTTGAACTTATCTTTTGATAAAGCATATTTTAAACTCTCTTTTTGTAGAATGTACAAGTGGATGTTTGGAAACCTTTGTGGCCTATGGTGGAAAACGAAATATCGTCCAAGAAAAACTACACAGAAACATTCTAGGAACCGCCTTTGCAACGTGTGCATTCATCTCACAGAGTTGAACTTTTCTTTTAATTGAGTAGTTTGGAAACACTCTTTTTGTAGAATCTGCAAGTGGATATTGGGAGTGCTTTGAGGCCTGTTTTTGAAAAAGACATATCTTCACATAAAACCACACAGAAGCATTCTCAGAAACTTTTTTGTGATGTGTGCATTCATCTCACAGAGTTGAACATTTCTTTTGGTTGAGCAGGTTTGAAACACACTTTTTGTAGAATCTGCAAATGGATATTTGGAGCGCTTTGGGCCTGCGATGGAAAGGAAATATCTTCACATAAAAACTACACAGAAGCATTCTGAGAAACTTCTTTGTGATGTGTGCATTCATCTCACAGATATGAAGCTTTCTTTTGATTGAGCAGTTTGGAAAAACTCTTTTTCTAGTATATGCAAGCAGAGATTTGGAGACCTTTGTGGCTTATGTTGCAAAAGGAAATATCTTAACATAAAAACTACACAGAAGCATTCTGATAGACTTCCTTTTCATGTGTGCATTCATCTCACATAGTTGAACCTTTCTTTCGATAGAGCAGTTTTGGAACTCTCTTTTTGTAGGATCTGCAAGGGGATATTTGGAGGCCTTTGCAGCCCATAATGGAAAAGGAAATATCTTCCAATAAAAACTACACAGAAGCATTCTGGGAAACTTCTTTTTGATGTGTGCATTTATCTCACAGAGTTAAACATTTCATTTGATTTATCAGTTTTGGAACACTCATTTTCTAGAAACTGCCAGTGGATATTTGGATCACTTTGAGGCCTATTGTGCAAAAGGAAATATCTTCATATAAAAACTACATAGAGGCATTCTCAGAAACTTCTTTGTGATGTGTGTATTCATCTCAGACTTCAACCTTTCTTTTGAATGAGCATTTTGGAAACACTCTTTTTGTAGAATCTGTGTGTGGATACTTGGAGCCTTTTGAGGCCTATTGTGGAAAAGGAAATATCTTCACATAAAAACTACACAGAAAAATTTGAGAAACTTCTTTGTGATACTTGCATTCATCTCACATATTTGAAAATTTCTTTTGATAGAGCACTTTTGAAACTCTCTTTTTGTAGAATCTGCAAGTGGATATTTGGAGCGCTTTGAGGCCTATGGTGGAAAAGGAAATATCTTAACATAAAAACTACACAGAAGCATTCTGAGAAACTTCTTTGTGATGTGTACATTCAACTCGCAGAGTTGAAACTATCTTTTGATAGAGCGGTTTTCATACTCTCTTTTTGTATAATCTGCAAGTGGATATTTGGAGCCCTTGGTGGCCTATGGTGGAAAAGGAGATATCTTCACATTAAAACTTCAAAGAAGCATTCTGAGAAGCTTCTTTGTGATGTGTGCATTGATCCCACTGAGGTGAACGTTTCTTTTTATTTAGAAGTTTGGAAACACTCCTTTGCAGAGTCTGCAAGTGGATATTTGGAGTGCTTTGAGGGCTATGGTGGAAAAGGAAATATCTTCACATAAAAACTACACAACATCATTCTCAGAAACTTCTTTGTGATGTGTGCATTCAACTAACATAGTTGAACCTATCTTTGATAGAGCAGTTTTGAAATTCTCTTCTTATAGAATCTGCAAGTGGAGTTTTGGAGCCCGTTGAGGCCTATTGTGGAAAAGGAAATATTTTCACATAAAAACTATACACAAGCATTCTGAGAAACTTCTTTGTGATGTGTGCCTTCATCTCACAGAGATGAACCTTTCTTTTGATTTAGCAATTTTGAAACACTCTGTTTGTATATTCGGCAAGTGGATGTTTGGAGCGCTTTGTGGCCTATGGTCGAAAAGGAAATATCTTCACATAAAAACTACACGGGGACTTTCTCAGAAACTTCTTTGTGATGTGTGCATTCAACTCACAGGGTTGAACCTATCTTTTGATAGGGCAGTTTTGAAACTCTCTTTTTGTAGAATCTGCAAGTGGGTATTTGTAGCCCTTTGTGGCCTATGTTGGAAAAGGAAATATCTTCACATAAAAACTACCCAGAGGCATTCTGAGAAACTTCTTTGTGATGTGTGCATTCATCTAACAGAGTTGAAACTTTCTTTTGATGGAGTAGTTTGGAAACACTCTTTTTCTAGAATCTGCATGTGGATATTTGGAGCGCTTTGAGGCCTATGATGGAAAAGGAAATATCTTTACATAAAAACTACACCAAAGCATTCTGAGAAACTTCTTTGTGATGTGTCCATTCAACTCACAGGGTTGAACCTATCTTTTGATAGAGCAGTTTTGAAACCCTCTTTTTGTAGGATGCGCAAATGGATATTTGGAGTAGTTTGAGGCCAATTGTGGAAAAGGAAATATCTTCACATAAAAACTACACAGAAGCATTCTCAGAAACGTTTTGTGATGTGTGCATTCAACTCACAGAGTTCAACCTATCTTTTCATAGAGCAGTTTTGAAACTCTATTTTGTAGAATATGCAAGGGGATATTTGGAGCCATTTGTGGCCTATGGGGGAAAAGGACATATCTTCACATAAAAACTACACAGAAGCATTCTGAGAAACTTCTTTGTGATGTGCACATTCAACTCGAAGAGTTGAACATATCTTTTGACAGAGCAGTTTTGAAACTCTTTTTTTGTAGAATCTGCAAGTGGATATTTGGAGTCCTTTACAGCCTATGGTGGAAAAGGAAATATCTTTACATAAAAACTTCACAGAAGCATTCTGAGAAACTTCTTCGTGATGTGTGCATGCAACTCACAGAGTTGAACCTATATTTTGATAGAGTAGTTTTGAAACTCTCTTTTTGTAGAATCTGCAAGTGAATATTTTCAGCCCTTTGCAGCCTATGGTGGAAAAGGAAATATCTTCACATAAAAATTAAACAGAGGCATTCTGAGAAACTACTTTGTGATGTGTGCATTCATCTCCCACAGTAGAACCTTTCTTTGGCTTGAGCAGTTTTGAAACACTCTTTTTGTAGTATCTGCATGTGGATATTTGAAGGGATTTGTGGCCTAATTTGGAAAAGGAAATATCTTCACAAAAAAACTAGAAAGAAGCATTCTTAGAAACTTCTTTTTGATGTATGCATTCTAATAACGGAGTTGAACCTTTCTTTTGACTAAGCAGTTATGAAACACTATTTTTGTAGAATCTGCAATTGGATAATTGCAACAGTTTATGACTTCTAGTGGAAAAGGAAATGTTTTCACATACAAACTAGACAGAAGTTTTCTGAGAAACTTCTTTGTGATGTGTGCATTCATCTAACAGATTTGAACCTTTATTTTAATTGAGCAGTTTTCAAACACTCTTTTTGTAGAATCTGCGAGTGCATATTTGGAGTGCTTTGAGGCCTATGGTGGAAAAGGAAATATCTTCACATAAAAACTAGACTGAAGCATTCTCAGAAACTTCTTTGTGATGTGTGCATTAAACTCACAGAATTCAACCTCTCTTATAATTCAGCCGTTTGGAAATTCTCTTTTTGTACTATCTGCATGTTGATATTTGGAGCACTTTGATGCCTACAGTTTTAAAAAAATCTTCACATAAAAACTTGACAGAAGCATTCTGAGAAGCTACTTCATGATGTGTGCATTCAACTCACAGAGTTGAACCTTTCTTTTGATTGAGCAGTTTGGAAACAGGCTTTCTGTACAATCTGCAAGTGGATATTTTGAGCGCTTTGAGGCCCATGGTAGAAAAGAAAATATCTTCACGAAAGAACTAGACAGAAGCATTCTGAGAAACTTCTTTGTGATGTGAGCAATCATCTCACAGGGTTGAACCTTTCTTTCGATTTAGCAGTTTTGAAACACACCTTTTGTAGAATCTGCAAGTGTATATTTGGAGCATTTTGAGGCCTATGGTGGAAAAGGAAATATCTTCACAAAAAAACTAGACAGAAGCATTCTGAGAAACTTCTTTGTGATGTGTGCGTTCAACTGACCGATTCGAAGCTCTCTTTTGCTTGAGCAGTTTGGAAACCGTCTTTTTGTAGGATCTGCAAGTGGATATTTGGAACCATTTGAGGCCTATGGTGTAAAACTAAATATCTACACATAAAAACTAGACAGAAGCATTCTGAGAAACTTCTTTGTGATGTGTGCATTCAGTTCACCGAGCTGAATATTTCTTTAGAGGCAGCAGTTTTGAAACACTCTTTTTGTTGTTTCTGCAAATGGATATTATGAGCAGTTTCAGGCCTATGGTGGAAAAGGAAATGTCTTCACATAAATACAAGAAAGAAGCATTCTGAGAAACTTCTTTGTGATGTGTGCATTGAACTCCCAGGCTTCAACCTTTCTTTTGATAGAGCAGTTTTGAAACACACTTTTTGTATAATCTGCTAGTGGATATTTGAAGCAATTAGGGGCCTATGGTGGAAAAGGGAATAACTTCATCTAAAAAATACATAGACGTATTCTGAGAAACTTCCTTGTCATGTGTGTATTCAACTAACAGAGCTGAATCTTACTTTTGATTCAGCAGTTTTGAAACACACTTTTTGTATTATCTGCTAGTGGATATTTGAAGCAATTAGGGGCCTATGGTGGAAAAGGGAATAACTTCGTCTAAAAAATACATAGAAGTATTCTGAGAAACTTCCTTGTCATGTGTGTATTCAACTAACAGAGTTGAACCTTACTTTTGATTCAGCAGTTTTGAAACACTCTTTTTGTAGAAGCTGCAATTGGATATTTGGAGTGCTTTGCAGCCTATGGTGGAAAAAGAAATATCTTCACATAAAATCTAGCAGAAACATTCTGAGAAACTTCTGTGTGATGTGTGCATTCATTTCACAGAGATGAAACTTTCTTTTGATTGAACAGTTTTGAAACACTCTTTTTGTAGAATCTGGAAGTGGATATTTGGAGCGCTTTGAGGCCTATTGTGGAAAAGGATATATCTTTATCTAAAAACTACACAGAAGCATTCTGAGAAAGTTATTTGTGTTGTGTGCATTTAACTCACAGAGTTGAACTTTTCTTTTGATTGCACAGTTTGAAAACCGTGTTTTTGTGGTATCTGCAAATGAATATTTGGAGAGGTTTGAGGACTATGGTGGAAAAGGAAATATCTTCACATAAAAACAAGACAGAAGCATTCTGAGAAACTTCTTTTTGATGTGTGCATTCATCTCACAGAGTTGAAACTTTCTTTTGATTGACCAGTTTTGAAACCCGCTTTTTGTAGAATCTGCAAGTGGGTATTTGGAGCACATGGATCACTATGGTGGAAAAGGATGTGACTTCACAGAAAAACACAACAGAAGCATGCTGAGAAACTCCTTTGTGAAGTGTGCATTCATCTCACAGAGTTGAAACATTCTTTTTACTGAGCAGTTTTGAATCACACTTTTTGCAGAATCTGCAAGTGGATATTTGCAGCCCTTTGAGGGCTATGGTGGAAAAGTAAATATGTTCACATAAAAACTACACAGAAGCATTCTGAGAAACTGCTTTGTGATGTGTGCATTCAACTCACAGAGTTGAACCTATGTTTTCATAGAAGAGTTTTGAAACTCTCTTTTTGTTGAATCTGCAAGTGATTATTTGGAGCCTTTTGTGACAGATGGTGAAAAAGGAAATATCTTACTATAAAAACTACACAGAAGTATTCTGAGAAACTTCCTTGTGATGTGTGCATTCTTCTCACAGAGTTGAACATTACATTTGATTGAGCAGTTTTGAAACACTCTTTTTATAGAATCTGCAAGTGGCCATTTGGAGCCCTTTGAGGCCAATGGTGGAAAAGGAAATATCTTCACATAAAAACTACACAAAAGCATTGTGGGAATCTGCTTTGTGATGTGTGCATTTATCTCACAGAGGTGAACCTCTCTTTTCATTGAGTAGTTTGGAAAAACTCTTTTTGTAGAATCGGCAAGTGGATATATGGAGCGCTTTGAGGCCTATTGCGGAAAGGGAAATTTCTTCACATAAAACCTACACAGAAGCGTTCTGAGAAACTTCTTTGTGATGCGTGCATTCATCTCATAGAGTTGTACCTTTCTTTGATTGAGCAGTTTTGAAACATTCTTTTTGTAGAATCTGCAAGTGGATATTTGTAGTGCTTTGAGGCCTAAGGAAGAAAAGGAAATATCTTCACATAAAAACTACACAGAAGCATTCTGAGAAACTTCTTTGTGATGTGTACAGTCATCTCACAGGGTTGAACCTATCTTTTGATAGAGCAGTTACGAAACCGTCTTTTTGTAGAATTGGTAAGTGGATATTTGGAACCCTTTGCAGCCTATGGTGGAAAAGGAAGTATCTTCACATAAAAACTACACAGAAGTATTCTGTGAAACTTCTTTGTGATGTGTGCATTCATCTCACAGAGTTGAACATTTCATATGATTGAGCAGTTTTGAAACACTCTTTTTCTAGAATCTGCAAGTGGATATTTGCAGCGCTTTCAGGCCTATTGTGAAAAATTTAATATCTTCCCATAAAAACTACACAGAAGCATTCTCAGAAACTTCTTTGTGATGTGCACATTCATCTCATGGAGTTGAACCTTTCTTTTGATTGAGCAGTTTGGAAACACTCTTTTAGTAGAATCTGCAAGTGGATATTTGGAGCCCTTGGAGGCCTATTGTGGAAAAGGAAATATCTTCACATAAAAACTACAGAGAAGGATTCTGAGAAACTTCTTTGTGATGTGTGCATTCATCTCACAGAGTTGAATCTTTCTTTTTATTGAGCAGTTTTGAAACACTCATTGTAGAATCTACAAGTGGATATGTGGAGCACTTAGAGGCCTATGGTGGAAAAGGAACTATCTTCACATAAAAACTACACAAAAACATTCTGAGAAACTTCTTTGTGATGTTTGCATTCAACTCGCAGAGTTGAACATATCTTTTGATAGAGCAGTTTTGCAACTCGCTTTTTGCAGTCTGTGCAAGTGGTTATTTGGAGCTTTTTTTGGCCAATTGTGGAAAAGGAAATCTCCTCCCCTAAAAACTACACTGAAGCATTCTGAGAAACTTCTTTGTGATTTGTGCATTCATCTCACAGAGTTGAAACTTTCGTTTGATTGAACAGTTTTGAAACTGCCTTTTTTAGAATCTGTAAGTGGATATTTGAAGTGCATTGAGGCTTATGGTGGAAAAGGAAATATCTTCACATAAAAACTACACGGAAGCATTCTCAGAAACTTACTTGTGATTTGTGCATTCATCTCACAGAGTTGAACCGTTCTTTTGATTGAGCAGTTTGGAAACAGTCTTTTAGTAGAATCTGCAAGTGGATATTCGGAAATCTTGGAGGCCTTTTCTGGTAAAAGAAATATCTTCTGATAAAAACTACACAGAAGAATTCTGAGAAACTTCTTCGTGATGTGTGGATTCGTCTCACAGAGTTGAATATTTCTTTTGATTGAGCAGTTTTGCAACACTCTTTTTTGTAGAATCTGCCAGTGGATATTTGAAGCACTTTGAGGCCTATGGTGGAAAAGGAAATATCTTCACACAAAAACTACACAGAAGCATTCTGAGAAACTTTTGTTATGTGTGCATTCAACTCGCAGAGTTGACCCTTTCTTTTGATAGAGCAGTTTGGAAACTCTCTTTTTGTACAGTCTGAAAGTGCTTATTTGGAGCCCCTTGCGGCCTGTGGTGGAAAAGGAAATATCTTCACACAAAAACTACACAGAAGAATTCTGAGAAACTTCTTAGTGATGTGTGCATTCATCTCAAAGAGTTGAAACTTTCTTTTGATTGAGCAGTTTTGAAACACTCTTTTGTAGAAACTGCAACTTAGATATTTGGAGCGCTTTCAGGCCTCTGGTGGTGAAGGAAATATCTTCACATAAAAACTACACAGAAGCATTCTGAGAAACTTCTTTGTAATGTGTGCATTCAACTCACTGCGTTGAATCACTACTTTGATAGAGAAATTTTGAAACTCTCTTTTTGTAGAATCTGCAAGTGGATATTTGGAGTGCTTTGAAGCCTATGGTGGAAAAGGAAATATCTTCACATAAAAACTACACAGAAACGTTCTCAGAATCTTTTTTGTGATGTGTGCATTCATCTCACAGAGCTGAATTTTTCTTTTGATTAAGCAGTTTGGAAATACTCTTTTTGTAGAATCTTCAAGTGGATATTTGGAGCGCTTTAATGCCTATGGTAGAAAAGGAAATATATTCACAAAAAAACTACACAGAAGTATTCAGAGAAACTTCTTTGCAATGTGTGCATTCCTCCCACAGAGTAGAACCTTTGTTTTCATTGAGCAGTTTGGAAACACTCTTTTTCTAGAATCTGCAAGTGGATATTTTCAGCGATTTGAGGCCTATGCTGGAAAAGGCAATATCTTCACATAAAAACTACACAGAAGCATTCTGAGAATCTTCTATATGATGTGTGCATTCATCTCACAGAGTTGAGCCTTTCTTTTGATGGATCAGCTTTGAAACACTGTTTTTGAAGAATCTGCAAGTGGATAATTGGAGCCCTTTGAGGCCTATGGTGGAGAAGGAAATATCTTCACATAAAAAGTACACAGAAGCATTCTAAGAAACTTCTTTGTGATGTGTGAATTCATCTCACAGAGTTGAACCTCTCTTTTGATTGTGCACTTTTGAAACCCTCTTTTTGTGGAATCTGCAAGTGGATATTGGGAACAATCTGACACCTATTGTGGAAAAGGAAACGTCTTGAGATAAAAACTACACAGAAGAATTCCGAGATACTTCATTGTGATGTGTGCATTCAACTCACAAATTTGAACCTATCTTTTGATTGAGCAGTTTTGAAACTCTCTTTTTGTAGCATCTTCAAGTGGATACATGGAGCCCTTTGTGGCTTATGATGGAAAAGGAAATATCTTCACATAAAAACTACACAGAAGCATTCTGAGAAACTTCTTTGTGATATGTGAATTCATCTCACAGAGTTGAGTCTTTCATTTTATTGAGCAGTTTGGAAACACACTTTCTGTAGAATCTGCAAGGGGATATTTGCAGCACTTTGAGGCCTATTGTGGAAAAGGAAATATCTTCACATAAAAACTACACAGAAGCATTCTGAGAACCTTGTTTGTGATGTGTGCACTCAACTCACAGAGTTGAGCCTGTCGTTTGATTGGACAGTTTTGAATTTCTGTTTCTGCTGAATATGTAACAGGATATTTGGATCCCTTTGCGGCCTATTTTTGAAAAGGAAATATCTTCACATAAAAACTACACAGAAGCATTCGGAGAAACTTCCTTGTGATGTGTGCATTCATCTCATAGAGGTGAAACTTTCATTTGATTGAGCAGTTTGGAAACACCCTTTTTGTAGAATTTGCAAGTGGATATTTGGATAACATCGAGGTCTATTGTGGAAAAGGAAATATCTTCACATAAAAAATACACAGAAGCATTCTGAGAAACTCCTTTGTGATGTGTGCATTCATCTCACAGAGTTTAAACTTTCCTTTGATTGAGCAGTTTTGAAACACTCTTTTGATAGGATCTGCAAGTGGATATATGAAGCCCTTTGATGCCTAGAGTGGAAAAGGAAATATCTTCACACAAAAACTACACAGAAGCATTCTGAGAAACTTCTTTGTGATGTGTGCATTCATCTCAGAGAGTTGAACCTGTCTTTTGATTGAGCAGGTTTGAAACAGACTTTTTGTAGAACCTGCAGGTGGATATTTGGGGCGCTTTGAGACCTATTTTGGAAAAGGAAATATCTTCACATAAAAAGTACACAGAAGCATTCTGAGAAACTTCTTTTTGATGTGTGCATTCATCTCACAGAGTTGAACCTCTGTTTTGATTGTGCACTTTTGAAACCCTCTTTTTGTGGAATCTGCAAGTGGATATTCGGAGCAATTTTGAAACCTATGGTGGAAAAGGATATATCTTCACGAAAAACCTGCACAGAAAAATTCCAAGATACTCCATTGTGAAGTGTGCATTCAACTCACAAATTTGAACTTACCTTTTGATCGAGCAGTTTCAAAACTCTCTTTTTGTAGCATATTCAATTGGATGCATGGAGCCATTTGTGGCCTGAGATGAAAAAGGAAATATCTTCACATAAAAACTACACAGAAGCATTCTGACAAATTTCTTTGTGATGTGTGAACTCATCTCACAGAGTTGAGCCTTTCATTTTATTCAGCAGTTTGGAAACACTCTTTTTGTAGGATTGGCAAGTGGATATTGGGAGCGCTTTGAGGCCTATGGTGGAAAAGGAAATATCTTCACATAGAAACTACCCAGAAGCATTCTGAGAAACTACTTTGTGATGTGTGCATTCAACTCACAGAGTTGAACCTATCTTTTGATAGAGCAGTTTTGAAACTCTCTTTTTGTAGAATCTTCAAGTGGATATTTGGAGCCCTTTGAAGTCTATGGTGGAAAAAGGAATATCTTCATAGAAAAACTACACAGAAGCATTCTGAGAAACTTCTTAGTGATGTGTGCATTCATCTCACAGAGTACAAGCTCTCTTTTGATTGAGCAGTTTTGAAACACTCTTTTTGTAGAATCTGCAAGTGGATATTTGGAGTGCTTTGAGGCCTATGCTGGAAAAGGAAATATCTTCACTTAAAAACTACACAGAAGCATTCTGAGAATCTTCTTTGTGATGTGTGCATTCATCTCACAGAGTTGAACATTTCTTTTCATTCAGCAGTTTGGAAACACTCTTTTTGAAGAATCTGCAAGTGGATATTTTGAGCGCTTTGAGGCCTATGGTGGAGAAGGTAATATGTTCACATAAAAAGCACACAGAAGCTCTTTAGTTTAATTAGATCTCATTTGTCAATTTTGGCTTTTGTTGCCATTGCTTTTGGTGTTTTAGACATGAAGTCCTTGTCCATGCCTATGTCCTGAATGGTAATGCCTAGATTTTCTTCTAGGGTTTTTATGGTTTTAGCTCTAACGTTTAAGTCTTTAATCCATCTTGAATTGATTTTTGTATAAGGTGTAAGGAAGGGATCCAGTTTCAGCTTTCTACATATGGCTAGCCAGTTTTCCCAGCACCATTTATTAAATAGGGAATCCTTTCTCCATTGCTTGTTTTTCTCAGGTTTGTCAAAGATCAGTGGTGATTCCTCAGGGATCTAGAACTAGAAATACTATTTGACCCAGCCATCCTATTACTGGGTATATACCCAAAGGTTTATAAATCATGCTGCTATAAAGATAAATGCACACGTATGTTTATTGCAGCATTATTCACAATAGCAAAGACTTGGAACCAACCCAAATGTCCAACAATGATAGACTGGATTAAGAAAATGTGGCACATATACACTATGGAATACTATGCAGCCATAAAAAATGATGAGTTCATGTCCTTTGTAGGGACATGGATGAAATTGGAAATCATCATTCTCAGTAAACTATCTCAAGAACAAAAAAACAAACACCGCATATTCTCACTCATAGGTGGGAATTGAACAATGAGATCACATGGACACAGGAAGGGGAATATCACACTCTGGGGACTCTGGTGGGGTGGGGGAAGGGGGGAGGGATAGCATCGGGAGATATACCTAATGCTAGATGACGAGTTAGTGGGTGCAGCGCACCAGCATGGCACATGTATACATATGTAACTAACCTGCACAGTGTGCACATGTACCCTAAAACTTAAAGTATAATAAAAAAACAGAAAGCTCAAAAAAAAAGATTTTTAATAAAAGTAAATTCTATTAGAACACTAAATAAAAATTTTTTCATTAAAACAAAAAAGTACACAGAAGCATTCTGAGAAACTTGTTTGTGATCTGTGCATTCATCTCACAGAGTTCAACCTCTCTTTTGATTGTTCACTTTTGAAACACTCTTTTTGTGGAATCTGCAAGTGGATATTCGAAGCAATTTGACGACTATGGTGGAAAAAGAAATATCTTCACATAAAAACTACACAGAAGAATACCAAGATACTTCTTTGCAATGTCTGCATTCAACTCACAGATTTGAACCTATCTTTTGATGGAGCAGTTTCAAAACTCTCTTTTTGTAGCATCTTCAAGTGGTTACATGCAGCCCTTCATGGGCTGGGATGGAAAAGAAAATACCTTCAAATAAAAACTACACAGAAGCATTCTGAGAAACATCTTTGTGATGTGTGAATTCATCCCACAGAGTTGAGCTTTTCATTTTATTCAGCAGTTTTGAAACACTCTTTTTGTAGAATCTGCAAGGGGATATTTGGAGTGCTTTGAGGCGTTTTGCGGAAAAGGAAATATCTTCACATAAAAACTACAAAGAAGCATTCTGAGAAACTTCTTTGTGAGGTGTGCATTCATCTCACAGAGTTGAACCTCTCTTTTGATGGAGCAGTTTGGAAACACTCTTTTTGTAGAATCTGCAAGTGGATATTTGGAGCGCTTTGAGGCCTATGGTGAAAAAGGAAATATCTTCACATAAAAACTACACAGAAGCATTCTGAGAAAGTTCTGCATGACGTGTGCATTCAACTCACAGGGTTGAACCTGTCATTTGATTGAACAGTTTTGAATCTCTCTTTTTGTAGAATCTGCAAGTGGATATTTGCAGCCCTTAGCGGCCTATTATTGAAAAGGAAATATCTTCACATAAAAACTACACAGGGCCGGGCGCGGTGGCTCACGCCTGTAATCCCAGCACTTTGGGAGGCCGAGGCGGGTGGATCATGAGGTCAGGAGATCGAGACCATCCTGGCTAACAAGGTGAAACCCCGTCTCTACTAAAAATACAAAAAATTAGCCGGGCGCGGTGGCGGGCGCCTGTAGTCCCAGCTACTCGGGAGGCTGAGGCAGGAGAATGGCGTGAACCCGGGAAGCGGAGCTTGCAGTGAGCCGAGATTGCGCCACTGCAGTCCGCAGTCTGACCTGGGCGACAGAGCGAGACTCCGTCTCAAAAAAAAAAAAAAAAAAAAAAAAAAAAAAAAAAAAAAAAACTACACAGAAGCATTCTGAGAATTTTCCTTGTGATGTGTGCACGCATCTCATAGAGTTGAAAATTTACTTTGATTGAGCAGTTTTGAAACACCCTTTTTGTAGAATTTGCAAGTGGATATTTGGATCGCATCAAGGACTATTGTGGAAAAGGAAATATCTTCACATAAAAAAAACACAGAAGCATTCTGAGAAACTTCTTTGTGATGTGTGCATTCATCTTACAGAGTTTAAACTTTCTTTTCATTGAGCAGTTTTGAAATACTCTTTTTATAAAATCTGCAAGTGGATATTTGAAGCGCTTTGATGCCTATAGTGGAAAAGGAAATACTTTCACATAAAAACTACACGGAAGGATTCTGAGAAACGTCTTTGTGATGTGTGCTTTCATCTCAGAGAGTAGAACCTGTCTTTTGTTTGAGTCGTTTTGAAATAGACTTTTTGTAGAACTTGCAGGTGGATATTTGTAGCACTTTGAGACCTATTTTGGAAAAGGAAATATCTTCACATAGAAACTACACAGAAGAATTCTGAGAAACGTCTTTGGATGTGTGCATTCCTGTCACGGAGTTGAACCTTTCTTTGGATTGACCAGTTTGGAAACACTCTTTTTGTAGAATCTGCAAGTGGATATTTGGAGCGCTTTGAGGCCCGTAGTGGAAAAGGAAATATCTTCACAAGAAAACTACACAGAACTATTCTGAGAAACTTCTGTGTGATGTGTACATTCAACTCACAGAGTTGAACCTGTCATTTGATTGAACAGTTTTGAATCTCTCTTTGTGTAGAATCTGCAAGTGGATATTTGGAGCCCTTTGTGGCCTATTTTTGAAAAGGAAACATCTTCACCTAATAACTACACAGAAGCATTCTGAGAAACTCCTTTTTGATGTGTGCATTCATCTCATAGAGTTGAAACTTTCATTGGATTGAGCAGTTTGGAAACACCCTTTTTGTAGAATTTGCAAGTGGATATTTGGATTGCATCAAGGTCTACTGTGGAAAAGGAAATATCTTTGAATAGAAAATTCACAAAAGCATTCTGAGAAACTTGTTTTTGATGTGTGCATTCATCTCACAGAGTTCAACCTCTCTTTTGATTGAACAGTTTTGAAATACTCTTTTTGTAGAATCTGCAAGTGGACATTTGGAGTGCTTTTAGGCCTATTGTAGAAAAGGAAATAGCTTCACATAAAAACTACACAGAAGCATTCTGAGAAACTTATTTGTGATGTGTGCATTCAACTCACAGAGTTGAACCTATCTTTTGACAGAGCAGTTTTGAAACTGTCTTTTTGTAGCATTTGCAAGTGGATATTTGGAGCCGTTCTTGGCCTAAGGTGGAAAAGGTATTAACTTCACATAAAAACTATACAGAAGCGTGGTACTGCTACCAAAACAGAGATATAGATCAATGGAACAGAACAGAGCCCTTAGAAATAACGCTGCATGTCTACAACTGTCTGATCTTTGACAAACCTGAGAAAAACAAGCGATGGGGAAAGGATTCCCTATTTAATAAATGATGCTGGGAAAAATGGTTAGCCATAGGTAGAAAGCAGAAACTGGATCCCTTTCTTACAGATTATACAAAAATTAACTCAAGACAGATTAAAGACTTAAACATTAGACCTAAAACGATAAAAACCCTGGAAGAAAACCTAGGCATTACCATTCAGGACATAACCATAGGAAAAGACTTCATGTCTAAAACACCAAAAGCAATGGAAACAAAAGCCAAAATTGACATATGGGATCTAATTAAACTAGAGCTTCTGCACAGCAAAAGAAACTACCATCAGGGTGAACAGGCAACCTACAAAATGGGAGAAAATTTTCGCAATCTACTCATCTGACAGAGGGCTAATATCCAGAATCTACAATAAACTCAAACAAATTTACAGGAAAAAAACAAACAACCCCATCAAAAAGTGGGTGAAGGACATGAACAGACACTTCTCAGAAGAAGACATTTATGCAGCCAAAAAACACATGAAAAAATGCTCACCATCACTGGCTATCAGAGAAATGTAAATCAAAACCACAATGCGATACCATCTCACACCACTTAGAATGGCAATCATTAAAAAATCAGGAAACAACAGATGCTGGAGAAGATGTGGAGAAATAGGAACACTTTTACACTGTTGGTGGGACTGTAAACTAGTTCAACCATTGTGGAAGTCAGTGTGGTGATTCCTCAGGGATCTAGAACTAGAAATACCATTTGACCCAGCCATCCCATTACTGGGTATATACCAAAAGGACTATAAATCATGCTGCTATAAAGACACATGCACATGTATGTTTATTGTGGCACTATTCAGAATAGCAAAGACTTGGAACCATCCTAAATGTCCAACAATAATAGACTAGATTAAGAAAATATGGCACATATACAACATGGAATACTACCCAGCCATAAAAAAAGATGAGTTCATGTCCTATGTACGGACATGGATGAAATTGGAAATCATCATTCTCAGTAAACTATCGCAAGAACAAAAAACCAAACACTGAATATTCTCACTCATAGGTGGGAATTGAACAATGAGAACACATGGACACAGGAAGTGGAACATCACACTCTAGGGATTGTTATGGGGTGGGGTGAGGGGGTAGGGAGAGCTTTAGGAGATATACCTAATGCTAAATGACGAGTTAATGGTTGCAGCACACCAGCATGGCACATGTATACATATGTAACTAACCTGCACATTGTGCACATGTACCCTAAAACTTAAGGTATAATAATAATAATAATAAAAACTACACAGAAGCATTCTGAGAAACTTCTTTGTGATGTGTGCATTCATCTCACAGATTTGAACCTATCTTATCATTGAGCAGTTTGGAAACACTCTTTCTGTAGAATCTGCAGGTGGATATTTGGAGTGTTTTGAGCCTTATAGTGGAAAAAGAAATATCTTCACATAAAAACTACACAGAAGCATTCTGAGAAACTTCTTTGTGATGTGCGCATTCAACTCCAATAGTTGAACCTATCCTTTGATTTAGCAGTTTTGAATCTCTCTTTTTTTAGTATCTCCAAGTGGTTATTTGAAGCCCTTTGCAGCCTATTTTGGAAAAGGAAGTATCTTCATATAAAAACTACACAGAAGCACTCTTAGAAACTTCTTTGTTATATGTGCATTGAAATCACAGAACTGAACCTATCTTTCGATAGAGCAGCTTTGAAACTCTCTTTGTGTAGAATCTGCAAGTGTATATTTGGAGCCCTTTGTGGCCTATGGTGGAAAAGGGAATATCTTCACATAAAAACTACACAGAAGCATTCTGAGAAACTTCTTTGTGATGTGTGCATTCTTCTCACAGAGTTGAATCTTTCTTTTGATTGAGCAGTTTTGAAACACTCTTTTTGTAGAATCTGCAAGTGGATATTTGGAGCACTTTGAGGCCTACTGTGGAAAAGGAAATATCTTCA
Organism: Homo sapiens; assembly: GCF_000001405.40. Lineage (NCBI taxonomy): Eukaryota > Metazoa > Chordata > Mammalia > Primates > Hominidae > Homo > Homo sapiens. The sequence continues at coordinate 34,195,654 of NC_000016.10, read as the reverse complement.
CATAAAAAATATACAGAAGCATTCTGAGAAACTTCTTTGTGATGCGTGCATTCAACTCACAGTCTTGAACCTTTCTTTTGATAGAGCATTTTTGAAACTCTCTTTTTGTAGTATATGCAAGTGGATATTTGGAGCCCTTTGTGGCTTATGGTAGAAAAGGAAATATCTTCACATAAAAATTACACAGAAGCATTTTGAGAAACTACTTTCTGATGTATAAATTCATCTCACAGAGTTGAAAGTTTCTTTTGATTGAGCAGTTATGAAACGCTGTTTTTTATAGAATCTGGAAGTGGATATTTGAAGCCCTGTGAGGCCTATTGTGGAAAGGGAAATATGTTCACATAAAACTACACAGAAGCATTCTGAGAAACTTCTTTTTGATGTGTGCATTCATCTCACAGTGTTGAACCTTCGTTTTTTTTTTTTTTTTTTTTTTTTTTTTTTTTTTGACCGGAGTCTCGCTCTGTGGCCCAGGCTGGAGTGCAGTGGTGAGATCTCGGCTCACTGCAAGCTCCGCCTCCCGGGTTCCCACCATTCTCCTTCCTCAGCTTCCCGAGTAGCTGGGACTACAGGCGCCTGCCACCAAGCCCGGCTAACTTTTTGTATTTTTAGTAGTGACGGGGTTTCACCGTGTTACCCAGGATGGTCTCGATCTGCTGACCTCGTGATCCACCCACCTCGGCCTCCCAAAGTGCTGGGATTACAGGCAGGAGCCACCGCACCCAGCCTGAACCTTCGTTTTGATTGAGCAGTTTTGAAACACTCTTTTTGTAGAATCTGCAAGTGGATATTTGGAGCACTTTGAGACCTACTGTGGAAAAGAAATATCTTCACATAAATAATATACAGAAGAAGCATTCTGAGAAACTTCTTTGTGATGTGTGCATTCATCTTACAGAATTGAACCTATGTTTGGATTGAGCACTTTTTAATCTATCTTTTTGTAGAATCTGCAAGTGGATACTTGGGGCACTTTGAGGCCTATTGTTGAAAAGGAAATATCTTCAGAAAAAAACTACACAGAAGCATTTTGAGAAAGTTCTTTGTGATGTGTCCATTCCACCCACATACCTGAACCTATCTTTTGATAGACCAGTTTTGAAACTCTCTTTTTGTAGAATCTGCAAGTGCATATTTTCAGCCCTTTGTGGCGTATGGTGGAAAAGGAAATATCTTCACATAAAAAGCCCACAGAAGGATTCTCAGAAACTTCTTTGTGTTGTGTGCATTCACCTAACAGAGTTGAACCTTTCTTTTGATTGAGCAGTCTTGAAACACTCTTTTTGTAGAATCTGCAAATGGATATTTGGGGAGCTTAGAGGACCACTGTGGAATAGGAAATATCTTCAAATAAAAAGTACATAGAAGCATTCTGAGAAACTTCTCTGTGATATGTGCATTCATCTCACGGAATTGAACCTTTCTTTTGATTGAGCACTTTGGAAATACTCTTTTGGAAGAATCTGTAAGTAGATATTTGAGGCGCTTTGAGGTCTGTTGTGGAAAAGGAAATATCTTCACATAAAAAGTACACAGAAGCATTCTGAGAAACTTCTTTGGGATGTGGGCATTCATCTAACAGAGTTGAACCTTCATTTTGATTGAGCAGTTTTGAATCTCTCTTTTTGTAGAATCTGCATTTGGATATTTAGAGCGTTTTGAGGCCTATCGTGGAAAAGGAAATATCTTCACATAAAAACTACACAGAAGCATTCTGAGAAACATCTTTGTGATGTGTGCACTCATCTCACAGAGTTGAAACTTTCTTTTGATTGAGCACTTTTGAAACATTCTTTTTGTAGGATCTGCAAGTGGATGTTTGAAGCACTTTGAGGCCTATGGTGGAAAAGGAAATATCTTCACATAAAAAGTAGACAGAAGCATTCTGAGAAACTTCTTCTTGATGTGTGCATTCATCTCACAGAGTTGAACCTTCGTATTGATTGAGCAGTTCTGAAACTCTCTTTTTGTAGAATCTGCAATTGGATATTTGGAGCACTTTGAGGCCTATAGTGGAAAAGGAAATATCTTCAGATAAAAACTACATAGGAGCATTCTGAGAAACTACTTTGTGATGTGTGCATTCATCTCACAGTGTTGAACTTTTCTTTTGATTGAGCAGTTTGGAAACACTCTTTTTGTAGAATCTGCAAGTGGATATTTGGAGCACTTTGAAGCCTATGGTGGAAACGGAAATATCTTCCCATAAAAAACAGACAGAAGCATTCTGAGAAACTTCTTTGTGATGCGAGCATTCAACTCACAGAGTTGAACCTATCTTTTGATTGAGCAGTTTTGAATCTCTCTTTTTGTAGAATCTACAAGTGGATATTAGGAGCTCTTTGCAGCCTGTTTTGGAAAAGGAAATATCTTCACATAAAAACTACACAGAAGCATTCTGAGAAGCTTCTTTGTGATGTGTGCATTCATCTCACGGAGTTGAAACTTTCTTTTGATTGAGCAGTTCTGAAACACTCTTTTTGTAGAATCTGCAAGTGGATATTTGAAGCGCTTTGAGGCCTATTGTGGAAAAGGAAATATCTTCACATAAAAACTATACAGAGGCATTCTGAGAAACTTCTTTGTGATGTGTGCATTCATCTCACAGAGTTGAACCTTTCTATTGATTCAGCAGTTTTGAAACACTCTTTTTGTACAATCTGCAAGTGGATATTTGGAGTGCTTTGAGGCCTATGCTGGAAAAGGAAATATCTTCACATAAAAACTACACAGAAGCATTCTGAGAAACTTCTTTGTGATGTGCGCATTCATCTCACAGTGTTGAACATTTGATTTCATTGAACAGTTCTGAAACACCCTTTTTTTAGAATCTACAATTGGATATTTGGAGCACTTCGAGGACTATATTGGAAATGGAAATATCTTCACATAAACACTAGACAGAAGCATTCTGAAAAACTTCTTTGTCATGTCTGCATTCAACTCACAGAGTTGAACATATCTGTTGATTCAGCAGTTTTGAATCTCTCTTTTTGTAGAATCTGTAGGTGGAAATTGGGAGCCCTTTGATGCCTACGGTGGAAAAGGAATTATCTTCACATAAAAATTATGCAGAAGTATTCTGAAAAACTTCTTTGTGATGTGTGCATTCATCTCTCACAGTTGAGCCTTTCTTTTGACTGGGCAGAAAAACTTTTTTTGTAGAATCTGGAAGTGGATACTTGGATTGCTTTCAGGCCTGTTGTGGAAAAGGAAATACCGTCATATAAAAACTACATAGAAGCATTCTGAGAAACTTCTTTGTGGTGTGTGCAATCATCTCACAGTGTTGAAACTTTCTTTTGACTGAGCAGTTTGTAAACACTGTTTTTGTAGAATCTGCAAGTGGATATTTGGAGCACTTTGAGGCCTATGGTGGAAAAGGAAATATATTCATATAAAAACTAGACAGAAGCATTCTGAGAACCTTGTTTGTGATGGGTGAATTCAACTCATAACGTTTAACCTTTCTTTTGATTGAGCAGTTTTTAAACACCCTTTTTGTAGAATCTGCAAGTGGATATTTTACATCATTTGTGACCTTTATTGGAAAAGGAAATATCTTCACATAAACACTAGACAGAAGCATTCTGAAAAACTTCTTGGTGATGTGTGCATTCATCTCACAGAGTTGAAACTTTCTTTTAATTAAGCAGTTTTGAAACACACTTTTTGTAGGATTTGCAAGTGGATATTTGGAGTGCTTTGAGGTCTATGGTGTAAAATTAAATGTCGTCACATAAAAAGTGGACAGAAGCATTCTGAGAAACTTCTTTGTGATGTGTGCATTCATCTCAGTGTTGAAACTTTCTTTTGATTGAGCAGTTTTGAAACACTCTTTTTGTGGGATCTGCAATTGGATATTTGGAGTGCTTTGAGTCCTGTGGTGGAAACGGAAATATCTTTCCATAAAAAACTAGACAGAAGCATTCTGGGAAACTTCTTTTTGATGTGTGCATTCATCTCACAGAGTTGAACCGTTCTTTAGATTGAGCAGTTTTCAATCAGTCATTTTGTAGAATCTGCAAAGGGATATTTCTGAGCCCTTTTGTGGCCTCTAGGGAAACTAAAAGTAATTTCACATAAAAACAAGACAGGAACGTTCTGAGAAACTTCTCTGTGATGTGTGCCTTCTTCTTACAGAGCTGAAACTTACTTTTGATTGAGCAGTTTGGAAACAGTCTTTTTGTAGAATCTGCAAATGGATATTTGGAGTGCTTTGCAGCCGCTGGTGGAAAAGGAAACATCTTCACATAAAAACTAGAGAGAAGCATTCTGAGAAACTTCTTTGAGATGTGTGCATTCAGCACACAGAGTTGGACCTATCTTTTTATTGAGCAGTTTGGAAACTTTCTTTTTGTAGCATCTACAAATGTATATTAGGAGCACTTAGAGGCCTATATTTGAAAAGGAAATATCTTCACATAAAATCTTGACAGAAGCATTCTGAGAAACTTCGTGATGTTTGCATTCATCTGGAAGAGTTGAACTACTCTTTTTATTGACCAGTTTGGAAACAGTCTTTTTGTAGTATCTGCATGTGGATATTTGGAGCACTTTGCAGCCTATGGTGGAAAAGGAAATATCTTCACATAAAAACTAGATGGAAGCATTCTGAGAAACTTCTTTGTGATGTGTGCATTCATCTCACAGTGTTGAAATTTCTTTTCATTAAACAGTTTTGAAACACTCTTTTTGTAGAATCTTCAAGTGGATATTTGCAGAGCTTTGTGGCCTAAAGTGGAAAAGGTAATATATTCACATAAAACCTAGACAGAATCATTCTGAGAAACTTCTTTGTGACGTGTGCATTCAACTCACAGAGTTAAACCTTTTTTTGGATTGAGCAGTTTTGAAACACACTTTTTGTAGAATCTGCAATGGATATTTGAGTGCTTTGAGGCCTAAGGTGAAAAAGGAACTATCTTCACTTAAAAACTAGACAGAAGCATTCTGAGAAAATTCTTTGTGATATGTGCATTCAACTCACAGAGTTGAACCTTTCTATTGATTGAGCAGTTTGGAAAAAGGCTTTTTGTAGAATCTGCAATTGAATTCTTGGAGCGCTTTGAGGCCTATGGTGGAAAAGGAAATAACTTCACATAAAAACCACAGAGAATTCTGAGAAACTTCTTTGTGATGTATGTATTCAACTCTCAGAGTTGAAACTTTCTTTTGATTGAGCAGTTTGGAAACAGTGTTTCTCTAGTATCTGCAAATGTATATTTGGAGTGCTTTGAGGCTCATGGTGGAAAAGGAAATATCTTCACATAAGAACTACAGAGAAGCATTCTGAAAAACTTCTTTGTGATATGTGCATTGACCTCACATAGTTAAACCTTTCTTTTCATTGAGCAGTTTTGAAACCCTCTTTTTATAGAATCTTCAAGTGGATATTTGGAGCACTTTGTGGCCTCTACTGGAAACGGAAATAGCTTCACATAAAAACTAGACAGAAGCATTCTGAGAAACTTCTTTTTGATGGGTGCATTCATCTCACTGAATTGAACGTTTCTTTTGACTCAGCAATTTTGAAACACTCTTTTTGTAGAATCTGCAATTGTATATTTTAGTGCTTTGAGGGCTACGTTCAAAAGGAAATATCTTCACATAAAAACTACACAGAAGCATTCTGAGAAACTTCATTGTGATGTGTGCATTCCTATCACAGAATTGAACTTTTCTTTTGATTGAGAAGTTTTGAAACACTCTTTTTGTAGAATCTGCAAGTGGATATTTGGAATGATTTGAGGCCTATGGTGGAAAAGGAAATACCTTAACATAAAAATTAGACAAAATCTTTCTGAGAAACTTCTTTGTGATGTTTGCATTCATCTCACAGAGTTGAACCTTTGTTTTGATTCAGCAGTTTTGAAACACTCTTTTTGTACAATCTGCAAGTGGATATTTGGAGCGATTGTTGGACTACGATGGAAAAGGAAATATCTTCACATAAAAACTAGACAGAAGGATTCTGAGAAACTTCTTTGTTATGTGTGCATTCAACTCACAGAGTTGAACACCTGTTTTGTTTGAGCAGTTTGGGAATAGTCTTATTGTGGTATCTGCAATTCGATATTTGGAGTGTTTTAAGGCCTATGGTGGAAAAGGAACCATCTTCATATAAAAATTAGACAGAAGCATTCTGAGAAACTTCTTTGTGATGTGTGCATTACCTCAAAGAGTTGAACATTTCTTTTGATTGAGCAGTTTTGATACACTCTTGTTGTAGTATCTGCAAGTGGATATTTTGGCACTTGGCAGCCTCTAGTGGAAAAGGAAATATCTTCACATAAAAACTAGACAGAAGCATTCTGAGAAACTTCTTTGTGATGTATGCATTCACCTAACAGAGTTGAACCTTTCTTTTGATTGAGGAGTTTTGAAACATACTTTTTGTAGAATCTGCAAGTGGATATTTGGTGCGCTTTGGGGCCTATGGTGGAAAAGGGAATATCTTCACATAAAATCTAGACAGAAACAATCTGAGAAACTTATTTGTGCTGTGTGCACTCAACTCACAGAGTTGAAACTTTCTTTTGTTTGAGCAGTTTTTAAACACTCTTTTTGTAGAATCTGAAATTGGATATCTGGAGTGCTTTGTGGACTCTAGTGGAAAAGGAAATATCTTCACATAAAAACTCGACAGAAGCATTCTGAGAAACTGCTTTGTGATGTGTGCATTCATCTCACAGTGTTGAGCCTTTCTTTTGATTGAGCATTTTTGAAATACTCTTTTTGTAGAATCTGCAAGTGGATATTTGTGTCGCTTTTAGCCCAATGTTGGAAAAGGAAATATCTCCACATAAAAACGAGACAGAAGCCTTCTGAGAAACTTCTTTGTGATGTGTGCATTGAACTCACAGACTTGAACCTTTCTTTTGATTGAGCAGTTTTGAAACTGTCTGTTTGCAGGATCTGCAATTGCATATATGGAGCGCTTTGCGGCCTAGAGTGGAAAAGGAAATATCTTCACATAAAAACTAGATAGAAGCATTCTGAGAAACTTCTTTGTGATGTGTGCATTCATCTCACTGAGTTCCAACTTTCTTTTGATTGACCAGTTTTGAAATCCTCTTTTTGTAGAATCTGCAAGTGAATATTTGAGGTGATTTGATGCCTATGTTGGGAAAGGAAATATCTTCATATATAAACTAGACAGAAGCATTCTGAGAAAATTCTTAGTGATGTGTGTATTCATCTGAGAGAGTTGAACCACACTTTTGATTGAGCAGTTTGGAAACAGTCTTTTTGTCGTATCTGCTTGTGGATATTTGGAGCACTTTGATGCCTATGGTGGAAAAGGAAATACCTTAACATAAAAATTAGACAGAAGCATTATGAGAAACTTCTTTGTGATGTTTGCATTCATCTCACAGAGTTCAACCTTTCCTTTGATTGAGCAGTTTGGAAACACTCTTTTTGTAGAATCTGCAAGTGGATATTTGGAATGCTGTGAGGCCTATGGTGGGAAAGGAAGTATCTTCACAGAACAACTGTGAAGCAGGTTTCCTAAAAACAGCCTTGTGATGTGTGCATTCATCTCACAGAAGTAAGCATTTCTTTTCTTTGATCAGGCTGGGAACTCTGTTCTTGTACAATCTGAAAAGGGTTATTTTTGATCACTTTGAGGCCTATGTTGCCAAAGGAAATATCTTCACCTACAAAGTATAAGGAAAGTTTCTGAAATACTTCTTTGTGATATGTGCATTCATCTCACAGTTTTGAACCTCTCTTTTGATTCAGCAGTTTGGAAACAGTATTTTTGCAGAATCTGCAAACGGATATTTGTGAGCACTTTGAGGCCTATGCAGAAAAAGTGGTATCTTCACAGAAAACTATAAAGAAGTTTTCTGAGAAACAGTTTTGTGATGTCTGTGTTCATCTCACAGAGGTAAACGATTCTTTTCTTTGATCATTTGGGAAACTCTGTTGTTTTAGAATCTGCTAAGGGGTATTTGTGAGTGCATAGAGCCCTATGGTGAAAAAGGAATTGTCTTCACATAAAAACTAGACAGAAGCATTCTGAGAAACTTCTTTGTGATGTATGCATTCACCTAACAGAGTTGAACCTTTCTTTTGATTGAGGAGTTTTGAAACATACTTTTTGTAGAATCTGCAAGTGGATATTTGGTGCGCTTTGGGGCCTATGGTGGAAAAGGGAATATCTTCACATAAAATCTAGACAGAAACAATCTGAGAAACTTATTTGTGCTGTGTGCACTCAACTCACAGAGTTGAAACTTTCTTTTGTTTGAGCAGTTTTTAAACACTCTTTTTGTAGAATCTGAAATTGGATATCTGGAGTGCTTTGTGGACTCTAGTGGAAAAGGAAATATCTTCACATAAAAACTCGACAGAAGCATTCTGAGAAACTGCTTTGTGATGTGTGCATTCATCTCACAGTGTTGAGCCTTTCTTTTGATTGAGCATTTTTGAAATACTCTTTTTGTAGAATCTGCAAGTGGATATTTGTGTCGCTTTTAGCCCAATGTTGGAAAAGGAAATATCTCCACATAAAAACGAGACAGAAGCCTTCTGAGAAACTTCTTTGTGATGTGTGCATTGAACTCACAGACTTGAACCTTTCTTTTGATTGAGCAGTTTTGAAACTGTCTGTTTGCAGGATCTGCAATTGCATATATGGAGCGCTTTGCGGCCTAGAGTGGAAAAGGAAATATCTTCACATAAAAACTAGATAGAAGCATTCTGAGAAACTTCTTTGTGATGTGTGCATTCATCTCACTGAGTTCCAACTTTCTTTTGATTGACCAGTTTTGAAATCCTCTTTTTGTAGAATCTGCAAGTGAATATTTGAGGTGATTTGATGCCTATGTTGGGAAAGGAAATATCTTCATATATAAACTAGACAGAAGCATTCTGAGAAAATTCTTAGTGATGTGTGTATTCATCTGAGAGAGTTGAACCACACTTTTGATTGAGCAGTTTGGAAACAGTCTTTTTGTCGTATCTGCTTGTGGATATTTGGAGCACTTTGATGCCTATGGTGGAAAAGGAAATACCTTAACATAAAAATTAGACAGAAGCATTATGAGAAACTTCTTTGTGATGTTTGCATTCATCTCACAGAGTTCAACCTTTCCTTTGATTGAGCAGTTTGGAAACACTCTTTTTGTAGAATCTGCAAGTGGATATTTGGAATGCTGTGAGGCCTATGGTGGGAAAGGAAGTATCTTCACAGAACAACTGTGAAGCAGGTTTCCTAAAAACAGCCTTGTGATGTGTGCATTCATCTCACAGAAGTAAGCATTTCTTTTCTTTGATCAGGCTGGGAACTCTGTTCTTGTACAATCTGAAAAGGGTTATTTTTGATCACTTTGAGGCCTATGTTGCCAAAGGAAATATCTTCACCTACAAAGTATAAGGAAAGTTTCTGAAATACTTCTTTGTGATATGTGCATTCATCTCACAGTTTTGAACCTCTCTTTTGATTCAGCAGTTTGGAAACAGTATTTTTGCAGAATCTGCAAACGGATATTTGTGAGCACTTTGAGGCCTATGCAGAAAAAGTGGTATCTTCACAGAAAACTATAAAGAAGTTTTCTGAGAAACAGTTTTGTGATGTCTGTGTTCATCTCACAGAGGTAAACGATTCTTTTCTTTGATCATTTGGGAAACTCTGTTGTTTTAGAATCTGCTAAGGGGTATTTGTGAGTGCATAGAGCCCTATGGTGAAAAAGGAATTGTCTTCACATAAAAACTAGACAGAAGCATACTGAGAAACTTCTTGGTGATGTGTGCATTTATCTCACAAAATTGAAACTTTCTTTTGATTGAGCAGTTTGGAAATGTCTTTTTGTGGAATCTGTAAAGGGATATTTCTGAGCACTTTGAGGCCTATGGTGAAAGAGAAAATATCTTCACATAAAAACTAGACTAAAGAATTCTGAGAAACTGCTTTGTGATGTATGCATTCATCTCACAGAGTTCAACAATTCTTTTGATTGAGCAGTTGGGAAACTGTCTTTTTGTAGAATCTGCAAAGGTATATTTGTGAGTGCTTTGAGTTCTATGGTTAAAAGGTAATATCTTCACATAAAAACTATAAAGAAGGTTTGTGAGAAACTTCTTTGTGATGTGTGCATTCATCTCATAGAGTTGAACCATTCCTTTCACTCAGCAGTTTGAAAACAGTCTTTTTTTGGGATCTGCAAAGGGATATTTTTGAGCACTTTGAGGCCCATGGTGAAAAAGGAAACACATTCACATAAAAACAAGATAGAAGCTTTCTGAGAAACATCTTTTTGATATATGCATTCATCATTCATCCCACAGAGATGAACCTTTCTTTTGATGAGCAATTTGGAAACAGTATTTTGCAGAATTTCCAAAGGGTTATTAGTTAACGCTTTGTGTCCTGTGTTGAAAAAGGAATTATCTTTACATAAATACTAGACAGAATATTTCTGAGAAACTGCTTTGCGATGTGTGCTTTCATCTCACAGAGGTAACAATTTCTCTCCTTTGAGCAGATTGGAAATTCTGTTCTTGTAAAATCTGCAAAAGGATATTTGTCAGTGCTTTGAGGTGTATGGTGAAAAAGGAATCATCTTCAAGTAAAAACTAGACAGAAGCTTTCTGTGAAACATCTTGGAGATGTGAGAACTCATCTCACAGAGTTGAAACATTCTTTTGATTGAGCAGTTTGTAAACAGTATTTTGGTAGGTAGAATCTGCAAAGGAATATTTGTGATGCTTTGAAGCCTATGGTGGAAAAGGAAATATTTTCACATGAAAACTAGAGAGAAGTTTTCTGAGAAACCTCCTTGTGTTGTGTGCATTCATCTCACAGATTTGAACCTCTTTTTGGATTGAGCAATTTGGATACGGTATTTCTGTAGAATCTGTAAAGGCATATTTTTGAGAGCTATGAGACCTATGATGAAATAGGAAATATCTTCACATAAAAACTAGACAGAAGCTTTCTGAGAAACTTCTTTGTGATGTGTGTATTCATCTCACAGAGTTCAACCATTCTTTTGATTGAACAGTTTGGAAACAGTCTTTTTGTAGAATCTGCAAAGGGATATTTATGAGTGCTTTGAGACCTATGGTGAAAAAGGAAATATATTCACATAAAAAGTATAAACAAGGTTTCTCAGAAACAGCTTTGTGATATATGCATTCATCTCACAGAGGTAAACGTTTCTTTTCTCTGGTCAGTCTGGAAACTGTTCTTGTAGAGTCTGCAAAGGGATATTTGTGAGTGCTTTGAGGCCTATGGTGAAAAAGGAAATATCTTCACATAAAAATTAGAGAGAGGCTTTCTGAGAAATCTCTATGTGATGTGGGCATTCATCTCACAAAGATGAAACTTACTTTTGATTGAGCAGTATGAAAACGGTCTGTTTGTGGAATCTGCAAGGGATATTTGTCAGAACTTTGAGTGCTATGGTGAAAAAAGAAATATCTTCACATAAAAAATGGACAGAAGATTTCTGAGAAACCTCTTTGTAATGTGTGCATCCGTCTCACAGAGTTTAAACATTTATTTGATTGAGCAGGTGGGAAGCAGTCTTTTTGCAGAATCTGCAAGGGAATATTGCTGAGCATTTTGAGGCCTATGGTGAAAAAGGAAATATCTTCACATAAAAACTATAAAGAAGGTTTCTGATAAACTTCTTTGGATGTATGCATTCATTTCATGGAGTTGAACTATTTTTTTGATTGAGCAGTTTGGAAACAATCTTTTTGTAGAATCTGCAAAGGGATATTTTTGAGTGCTTTTTGTCCTAGGGAGAAAAAAGAAATATCATCACATAAAAAGTATAAAGAAGGTTTCTGAGAAACAGTTTTGTGATGTGTGTATTCATCTCACAGAGAAAGACGTTTGTTTTCTTTGATCAGTCTGGACATTCTGTTCTTGTAGAATCTGCTAAGGGATATTTGTGAACAGATGGAGGCCTATGGTGAAAAAGGAAATGTCTTCATATAAAAATTAGACAGAAGCTTCCTGTGAAACTTCTCAGTGATGTGTGCATTCATCTCACAAACTTGAAACTTTCTTTTCATTGAGCCGTTTGGAAACAGTCTTTTTGTAGAACCTGCAAATGGATATTTGGAGCACTTTGAGGCCTATGGTGAAAAAGGAAATATATTCACATAAAAACCAGACTGAAGGTTTCTGAGAAACTTCTTTGAGATGTGTGCATTCATCTCACAAAGTTCAATAATTCTTTTTATTGAGTGGTTTGGAAGCAGTGTTTTTGTAGAATCTGCAAAGCGATATTTGTGAGGGCTTTGAGGCCTATGGTGAAAAAGGAAATATCTTCACAGAAAAACTATAAAGAAAGTTTCTGAGAAACTTCTTTGTGATGTGTGCATTCATCTCACACAGTTCAACCTTTTGTTTTTGGTTGAGCGGTTTGGAAACAGTCTTTTTAAATATTCCTCAACTGGATATTTGTGAGCACTTTGAGGCTCATGGTGAAAAAGGAAACATTCACATGAAAACTTAATAGAAGCTTTCTGAGAAACTTCTTTTTGACACATGCATTCATCTCACAGATGCGAACCTTTCCTTTGATGAGCAGTGTGGAAACAATGTTTTTGTAGATTCTGCAAAGCAACAATTTTGAGCGCTTTGCATCCTGTGGTGAAAAAGGAGATACCTTCACATAAAAACTAGACAGAATGTTTCTCAGAAACTGCTTTGTCATATGTTCATTCATCTCCCAGATGTGTCTCTTTTCATTGAGAAGATTGGAAACTCTTTTCTTGTAAAATCTGCAAAGGGATATTTGTGAGCCCTTTGAGGCGTATGGTGAAGAAGGAAATATCTTCACATAAAAACTACACAGAAGCTTTCTGAGAAACATCCTGGTGATGTGAGCATTCACGTCACAGAGTTGAAATATTCTTTTGATTGAGCAATGTGTAAAGAGTCTTTTTGTAGAATCTGCAAAGGGATATTTGTGAACACTTGGAGGCCTATGGTCAAAAAGGAAATATCTTCACATAAAAACTAGAGAGAAGCTTTCTGAGAAACCTCTTTGTGGTGTGCATACATCTCACAGAGTTGAACCTTTCTTTTGATTGAGCAATTTGGAAAAAGTATTTTTGTAGAATCTGTAAAGGGATATTTGTGAGCACTTTGAGGCCTATGGTGAAAAAGCAAGTATCTTCACATAAAATCTAGACAGAAGCATTCTGAGAAACTTTTTCATGATGTGTGCATTCATCACACAGAGTTGAACCTTTGTTTTGATTGAGCCATTTGGAAACAGTCTTTTTGTAAAATCTGCAAATGGATATTTGGAGTGCTTTGAGGCCTTAAAAGGAAATATATTCATATAAAAATCAGACTGAAGGATTCTGAGAAACTTCTTTGAGCTGTGTGCATTCATCTCACAGTGGTCAATAATTATTTTTATTGAGCGGTTTGGAAACAGTCTTTTTGTAGAATCTGCAAAGGGATATTTGTGAGGGCTTTGAGGCCTATGGTGAAAAAGGAAATATCTTCACAGAAAAACCATAAAGAAAGTTTCTGAGAAACTTCTTTGTGGTGTGTGCATTCATCTCACAGAGTTGAAACATTCTTTGGATTGAGCAGTTTGCAAACAGTCTTTTTGTAGAATCTGCAGAGGGATATTTGTAGTGCTTTGAGGCCTATGGTGAATAAGGAATTAACTTCACATAAAAACTAGAAAAAAGTATTCTGAGAAACTTTTTGTGATGTGTGCATTTATCTCATAGAGTTTAACATTTCTTTTGATTGAGCAGTTTGGAAACAGTCTTTTTGTACAATCTGCAAAGGGATATTTAGGAGTGCATTGAGGCCTATGGTGAAAAAGGAAATATCTTCACATAAAAACTAGAAAGAAGCATTCTGAGAAGCTGCTTTAAGATATGTGTATTCATCTCACAGAGGTAAACGTTTCTTTTCATTGAGCAGTTTGTAAACTCTGTTATTCTAGAGTTTGCAAAGGGATATTTTTGAGTGCTTTGAGACCCACATTGAAAAAGGAACTATCTTCACATAAAAACTAGTGAGAAGCTTGCTGAGAAACTACTTTCTGATGTGTGCATTCATCTCACAGAGTTGAAACTTTCTTTTGATTGAGCACTTTGGAAACAGTCTTTTTGTAGATTCTGCAAAGGTATATTTGAGAGTGAATTGAGGCCTATGTTAAAAAAGGAAATATCTTCACATAAACACGAGAAGGAAGTTTTCTGAGAAACTTCTTTGTGATGTGCACATTCGTCTCACAGGGTTGAACCATTCTGTTTATTGAGCAGTTTGGAAACAGTCTTTTTGTAGAATCTGCAAAGGGATATCTGGGAGTGTGTTGAGGCATATGGTGAAAAAGGAAATATCTTCACATTAAAAGTAGAAAGAAGTTTTCTGAGTAACTCCTTTGTGACGTGTGCATTCATCACACTCAAGTAAAAGTTTCTTCCCATTGAACAGTTAGTTTTTATGTGAAGATATTTCCATTTTCACGATAGACCTCAAACCACCCACATATATCCCTTTGCAGATTCTACAAAAAGACTATTTCCAACCTGCTCAATCAAAGAAAGCTTCCACGCTGTGAGATGAATGCACACATTACAGAGAATTTTCCCAGAAAGTTTCTGTCTAGTTTTTATTTGCTGATACTCTTTTTTTCACCATAGGCCTCAAACCACTCATAAATAACCCTTTGCAGATTCTACAAAAAGAGTGTTTCCAAACTACTCAATCAAAAGAAAGGGTCAACTCTGTGAGGTGAATGCACACATCACAAAGAAGTTTCTCAGAAAGCTTCTGTCTAGTTTTTATTTGAAGATGCTTCCTTTTTCAATATAGGCCTCAAAGTGCTCACAAATGTCCCTTTACAGATTTTACAAAAAGACTGTTCCCAAACTGCTCAACTGAAACAAAGCTTCAACTCTTTGAGATGAATGCACACATCACAAAGAAGTTTCTAGAAAGCTTCCATCCAGTTTTTATGTGAAGATATTTCCTTTTTCACCGTAAGTCTCAAAGCATTCAAATTATCAACTTGCAGATTCTACAAAAAGGCATTTTCCAACCTGCTCTATCTAAAGAAAGGTTCAACTCTGTGAGAAGAATGAACAGATCAAAAAGAAGTTTCTCAGAATGCTTCTGTCTAGTTTTTATGTGAAGACATTTCCTTTTTCACCATAGGCCAAAAAGGGATCTCAAATATCCCTTTGTACATTCTACAAAGGACTGTTTCCAAACTGCTTAATCCAAAGACAGGTTCAACTCTTTGGGATGAATGCACACATCACAACGAAGTTTCTCAGAAACTTCTGTCTAGTTTTTGTGTGAAGATATTTCTTTTTTCACCATAGGCTTCAAAGGGCTCACAAATATCACAAAGCAGATTCTACAAAAAGACTCTATCCAAGCTGGTCAATGAAAAGAACACTTCAAATCTGTGAGATGAATGAGCACATCTCAAAGAATTTTCTCAGAAACCTTCTGTCTAGTTTTTATGTGAAGATATTTCCGTTTTCATGATAGACCTGAAACTGCCTACATATATCCCTTTGCAGATTCTACAAAAAGACTGTTTCCAAACTGCTCAATCAAAGAAAGTTTTTACTCTGTGAGATGGATGCACACATCAGAGAGAAGTTTCTCAGAAAGTTTCTGTCTAGGTTTTATTTGTTGATACTCCGTTTTTCACCGTAGGCCTCAAACTGCTCATAAATAACCGTTTTCAGATTCTACTAAAGGACAGTTTCCAAACTGCTCAATCAAACGAAAGTTCAGCTGTGTGAGATGAAAGTGCATATCACAAAGAAGTTTCTCAGAAGGTTTCTGTCTAGTTTTTATGTGAAGATACTTCTTTTTCACCATGAGCCTCAAAGCGTTCACAAATTTTCCTTTGCAGATTCTATGAAAAGACTGTTTCCAAACTGCTCAATCAAAAGAAAGGTTCAATTCTGTGTGATGAACACACACATCACAAAGAAGTTTCTCAGAAGGGTTCTGTCTAGATTTTATTTGTGGAGATTTCCTTTTTCACAATAGGCCTCAAAAAGCTCACAAATATCCCTTTGCATATTCTACAAAAAGACTGTTTCCAAACTGCTCAATGAAAGAAAATTCAACTCTGTGAGATGAATGCACACATCACAAAGTGATTTATCATAATGTTTCTGTCTAGTTTTTATATGAAGATATTTCCTTTTTCACCACATGCCTCACACCACTCAAAAACATCCCTTTGCAGATTCTCCAAAAAGAGTGTTTCCAAACTGCTCAATCAAAACAAAGATTCAACTCTTTGAGATGCATACACCCATCACAAAGAAGTTTCCCAGAAAACATGAGTCTAGTTTTTATGTGAAGATATTTCCTTTTTCACCATAAGCCTCAAACAGTTCACAAATATCACTTTGCATGTTCTATGAAAAGACTGTTTCCAAACTGCTCAATCAAAAGAAAGTTTCAACCCTGTGAGATGAATGCACACATCACAAAGAAGTTTTTCAGAAAGCTGCTGTCTACATTTTATTTTTTGATATCTCCTTTTTCACCATAGGACTCAAACCGCTGAAACATATCACTTTACAGATTCTACAAAAAGACTGTTTCCAAACTGCCCAATCAAAAGAAAGGTTCAACTCTGTGAGATAAATGCACACATCACAAAGAAGTTTCATAGATAGCTCTTATTATTTTGAGATACGTCCCATCAATACCTAAGTTATTGAGAGTTTTTAGCATGAAGGTTGTTGAATTTTGTCAAAGGCCTTTTCTGCACCTATTGAGATAATTGTGTGGTTTTTGTCTTTGGTTCTGTGTATATGCTGGATTACATTTATTGATTTGTGTATATTGAACCAGTCTTGCCTCCCAGGGATGAAGCCCACTTGTTCATGGTGGATAATCTTTTTGATGTGCTGCTGGATTCAGCTTGCCAGTATTTTATCGAGGATTTTTGCATCAATGATCATCAAGGATATTGGTCTAAAATTCTCTTTTTTGGTTGTGTCTCTGCCAGCTTTAGTATCAGGATGATGCTGGCCTCATAAAATGAGTTAGGGAGGATTCCCTCTTTTTCTATTGATTGCAATAGTTTCAGAAGGAATGGTACCAGTTCCTCCTTTTACCTCTGGTAGAATTTGGCTGTGAATCCATCTGATCCTGGACTCTTTTTGGTTGGTAAGCTATTGATTATTGCCTCAATTTCAGAGCCTGTTATTTGTCTATTCAGAGATTCAACTTCTTCCTGGTTTAGTCTTGGGAGGGTGTATGTGTCAAAGAATTTATCCATTCCTTCTAGATTTTCTAGTTTATTTGCATAGAGGTGTTTGTAGTATTCTCTGATGGTAGTTTGAATTTCTGTGGGATAGGTGGTGATGTACCCTTTATCATTTTTTATTGCATCTATTTGATTCTTCTCTCTTTTCTTCTTTATTAGTCTTGCTAGTGGTCTATCAATTTTGTTGATCCTTTCAAAAAACCAGCTCCTGGATTCATTACTTTTTTGAAGAGTTTTTTGTGTCTCTATTTCCTTCAGTTCTGCTCTGATTTTAGTTATTTCTTGCCTTCTGCTAGTTTTTTAATGTGCTTGCTCTTGCTTTTCTAGTTCTTTTAATTGTGATGTTAGTGTGTCAATTTTGGATCTTTCCTGCTTTCTCTTGTGGGCATTTAGTGCTATAAATTTCCCTCTACACACTGCTTTGAATGTGTCCCAGAGATTCTGTTATGTTGTGTCTTTGTTCTCATTGGTTTCATGCTGCTATAAAGACACATGCACACGTATGTTTATTGTGGCACTATTCACAATAGCAAAGACTTGGAACCAACCCAAATGTCCAACAATGATAGACTGGATTAAGAAAATGTGGCACATATACACTATGGAATACTATGCAGCCATAGAAAATGATGAGTTCATGTCCTTTGTAGGGACATGGATGAAATTGGAAATCATCATTCTCAGTAAACTATCGCAAGGACAAAAAACCAAACACCGCATGTTCTCACTCATAGTTGGGAATTGAATAATGAGAACACATGGACACAGGAAGGGGAACATCACACTCTGGGGACAGTTGTGGGGTGAGGGGAGGGGGGAGGGATAGCATTAGGAGACATACCTAATGCTAAATGACGCGTTAATGGGTGCAGCACACCAGCATGGCACATGTATACATATGTAAGTAACCTGCACATTGTGCACATGTACCCTTAAACTTAAAGTATAATAATAATAAAATAAAATAAAATAAAAAGAAAGTGCACATCACAAAGAACTTTCTCAGAAAGTTTCTTTCTAGTTTTTATGTGAAGATATTTCCTTTTTCACCATAGTCTACAAAGTGCACAAAATATCTTTTGTAGATTGTACAAAAAGACTTTTTCCAAACTGCTCAATCAAAAGAAAGGTTCTACTCTGTGAGATGAAAACACAAATGACAAAGAAGTTACTCAGAATGCTTCCATCTAGTTTTTAAGTGAAGGTATTTCCTGTTTCACCATGGGCCTCAAAGGGCTCACAAATATCCTTTTTGCAGATTCTACAAAGAGACTGTTACAGAACTGCTCAATGAAAAGTAAGTTTCAACTCTGTGAGATGAATGCACACCTAAAAAAGAAGTTTCTCAGAATGCTTCTGTCTAGTTTTTATGTGAAGATATTTCTTTGTTACCATAGGCCTCAAACTGCTCAGAAATATCCCTATGCAGATGTTACAAAAAGACTGTTTCCAAACTGCTCAATGAAAAGAAAGATTCTACTCTGTGAGATGAAAGCACACACACAAAGAATTTTCTCAAAAAGTTTTTTTCTAGCTTATATGTGAAGATATTTCCTCTTTCACCATAGGCCTCAATGGGCTCAAAAATATCTCTTCTCAGATACTACAAAAGGCCTCTTTTCAAAGTGCTCAATCAAAAGAAAGTTTCAACTCTGTGAGATGAAAGCACACATAACAAATAAGTTTCTCAGAATGTTTGTCTAGTTTTTATGTGAAGATATTTCCTATTTCACCATAGGCCATAAAGGGCTCACAAATATCCCTTTGCAGACTCTACAGAAAGAGTATTTCCAATCAGCTCAATCAAAACAAAGGTTCAACTCTGTGAGATGAATGGACACATCACAAAGAAGTTTCTCAGAAAGCTTCTGTCTGGTTTATGTGTAAAGATATGTCTTTTTCACCATAGGCCTCAAATGACTAAAAAATATCCCTTTGCAGATTGAACAAAAAGACTTTTCCAAATTGCTCAATGAAAAGACAGGTTCAACTTTGTGAGATGCATGTGCACATCATAAAGAAGTTTGTCAGAATGCTTCTGTCTAGTTTTTATGTGAAGATATTTCCTTTTTCACCATAGGCCTTAAACCACTCCCAAATATCCCTCTGCAGATACTACAAAAAGACTGCTTGAAAAGTGTTCTATCAAAGGAAACTTTCGTCTCTGTGAGATGAATGCACACATCACAAAGAACTTTCTCAGAATGCTTCTGTCTAGTTTTTATGTGAAGATATTTCCTTTTTCACCACAGGCCTCAAAGTGCTCCAAATATCCATTTGCAGATTGTAGAAAAAGACTGTTTCCAAACAGCTACATGCAAAGAAGGGTTCAACTCTGTGAGATAAATGCACACATGAAAAAGAAGTTTCTCAGAATGCTTCTGTCTAGTTTTATCTGACATATATATTTTTCACCATAGGCCTCAAACCGTTCAGAAATATCCCTTTGCATATTGTACAAAAAGACTGTTTCCAAACTGTCAAATGAAAAGAAAGGTTCCACTCTGTGAGATGAATGCAAACATCACAAAGAAGTTTCTCAGAAAGTTTCTGTCTAGTTTTTATGTGAAGATATTTCCTTCTTCACAATAGGCCTCAAAGCGTTCCAAATATCCATTTGCAGATTCCACAAAAAGACTGTTTCCAAACTGCTCAACCAAAAAAAGGTTCAACTCTGTGAGATGAATGCACCCATCACAAAGAAGTTTTTCAGAAAGCTTCTGTTTAGTTTTTATGTGAAGATATTTCCTTTTTCACTATAGGCTTCAAAGCACTCCACACATCCATTTGCAGATTCTACAAAAGAGTGTTTCCAAACTGCTCAATCAAAAGTAATGTTCAACTCTGTGAGATGAAAGGACACATCACAAAAGTTCCTCATAATGCTTCTGTCTAGTTTTTATGTGAAGATATTTCATATTTCACCATAGGCCTGAAAGAGTTCACAAATATCCCTTTGTGGACTCTACAAAAAGATTGTTTTTGAACTGCTCCATGCAAAGAAAAGTTCAACTCTGTGAGACGAATGCACACATAAAAAAGAAGTTTCTCAGAATGCTTCTGTCTAGTTTTTATGTGAAGATATTTCTTTTCCACCATAGGCAACAAACCGTTCAGAAATATCCCTTTGTAGATTGTACAAAAAAACTGTTTCCAAACTGCTCAATCAAAAGAAAGGTTCAAACCTGTGAGATGAAAGTACACATCACAAAGAAGTTTCTCAGAATGCTTCTGTCTAGTTTTTATATGAAGATATTTCTTTTTCACTGTAGGCCTCAAACCCCTCTGAAATATCCCTTTGCAGATTGTAGATAAAGACTGTTTCCTAACTGCTCCATCAAAAGAAAGGTTCAACTCTGTGAGATGAAAAAGCACACATCACAAAGAAATTTCTCAGAATCCTTCTGTCTAGTTTTTATGTGAAGATATTTCCCTTCTAATGATAGGCCTCAAAGTGATCCAAATATCGATTTACAGATTCTACAAAAGACTGTTTCCAAACTGCTCAATCAAAATAAATTTTCACCTCTGTGAGATGAAAGCACACATCACAAAGAAGTTCTTCAGAAAGTTTCTCACTAGATTTTATGTGAAGATATTTAGTTTTACACCACAAACCACAAAGCACTCCAAATATCCATTTGCAGATACTTCAAAAAGAGTTTTTCCAAACTGCTCAATCAAAAGAAAGTTTCAACTCTGTGAGATGAATGCAAAGATCACAAAGGAGTTTCTCAGAATGCTTCTGTCTAGTTTTACTGTGAAGATATTTCCCATTTCATCATGGGCCTCAGTGGGCTCACATATATCCTTTTGCAAATTCTACAAAAAGACTATTTCTGAATTTCTCAATGAAAAGAATGGTTTAACTCTGGAAGAAGAATGCACACATGAAAAAGAAGTTTCTCAGAATGCCTCTGTCTAGTTTTTATGTTAAGATATTTGTTTTTCACCTTAGGCCTCAAACCGCTCAGAAATATCCCTTTGCAGATTGTACAAAAAGATGGTTTCCAAACTGCTCAATGAAAACAAAAGTTCAACACTATGACATGAATATGCACATCACAGAGAAGTTTTTCAGAAAGCTTCTGTTTAGTTTTTAAGTGAAGATATTTCCTTTTTTCACCATAGGCCTCAAAGTGCTCCAATTATCCTTTTGCAGAATCTACAAAAAGAGAGTTTCCAAACTGTTCAATTAAAAGAAAGATTCAAATCTGTGAGAAGAAAGCACACATCACAAAGAAGTTTCTCACAATGCTTCTGTCTACTTTTTTTGTGAAGATATTTCCTATATCACCATAGGCCTCAAAGGTCTCACAAATATCCCTTTGCAGACTGTACAAAAACACAGTTTTTGAACTGCTCCATGAAAAGAAAGGTTCAGCTCTGTGAGATGAATGCACACATAATAAATTACTTTCTCATAACGCTTCTGTCTAGCTTTTATGTGAAGATATTTCTTTTTCACTATAGGCATCAAACCATTCAGAAATATCCCTTTGTAGATTGTACTAAAAGACTGTTTCCAAACTGCTCAATCAAAAGAAAGGTTCAAACCTGTGAGATGAATGCACACATAACAAAGAAGTTTCTCATAAATCTTCTGTCTTGTTTTTATGTGAAGATATTTCCTTTCTCAACATAGGCCTCAAAGCAATCCATTGGCAGATTCTACAAAAAAACTGTTTCCAAACTGATCAATCAGAACAAATTTTTAGATCTCTGAGATGAAAGCACACATCACAAAAAAGTTACTCAGACAGCTTCTCTCTAGTTTGTATGTGAAGATATTTCCTATTTCACCTGAGGCCATAAAGGGCTCACAAATATGCCTTTGAAGGTTCTACAAAAAGACTGTTTCCAAACTGCTTAATCAAAAGAAACGTTCAACTCTGTGAGATGAATGGACACATCAGAAAGAAATTTTTCGGACTGACTCTGTCTAGTTTTTACGTGAAGATATTTCTCTTTCACCATAGGCCTCAAATGTATCAGAATTATCCCTTTGCAGATTGTACAATAAGCCTCTTTCCAACCTGCTCAATCAAAAGAAAGGTTCAACTCTGTGAGATGAATGCACACATCACAAGGAAGTTTCTCAGAAAACTTCTATTTAGTTTCTATGTGAAGATATTTCATTTTCCACCATGGGCCTCAAAGCGCTCCAAATATCCATTTGCAGATTCTAGAAAAAGAGTGTTTCCAAACTCCTCAATTAAAAGAAAGTTTCAATTCTGTGAGATGAAAGCATACATCACAAACAAGTTTCTTAGAAAGCTTCTGTCTAGTTTTTATGTGAAGATATTTCACATTTCACCATAGTACTCAATGGGCTCAGAAATATCCCTTTGCAGATTCTACAAAAGGACTGTTTCCAAACTGCTCAATCCAAAGAAAGTTTCAACTCTGTGAGATGAATGCACACATCACAAAGAAGTTTCTCAGAATGCTTCTGTCTAGTTTATATGTGAAGAAAATTCCTATTTCACCATAGGCAATAAAGTGCTCACAAATATTTTTTGCAGATTCTACAAAAAGACTGTATCCAAACCGCTCTATAAAAAGAAAGTTTCAACTCTGTTAGATAATGGACACATCAAAAAGTAGTTTCTCAGAAAACTTCTGTTTAGTTTTTATGTGAAGATATTTCCTTTGTCACCATTGGCCTCAAAGCACTCCTAATATCCACTTACACATTTCACAAAAAGAGTGTTTCCAAACTGCTCAATCAAAAGAAAGGTTTAACTCTGTGAGATGAAAGCACACATCTCAAAGAAGTTTCTCAGAAAGCTTCGGTCTAGTTTTCATGTGAAGATATTTCCAGTTTCACCATAGGCCTCAAAGGGCTAAGAAATACCCCTTTGCAGATTCTAAAAGAGGACCATTTCCATACTGCTCAATCAGAAGAAAGGCTAAATTCTGTGAGGTGAATGCACACATTAGAATGAAGTTTCTCAGAATTATTCTGTCTAGTTTTTATGTGAAGATATTTACTATTTCACTATAGGCTTCAAATGGCTCACAAATATCCCTTTGCAGATTCTACAAAAATACCATTGCCGAACTTCTGAATGAAAAGAAACGTTCAATTCTGTCAAATGAATGGAGACATCACAAAGAAGTTCCTCAGAATCCTTCTGTCTAGTTTAAATGTGAAGATATTTCTTTTTCACCATAGACCTCAAATGGCTCAGAAATATACCTTTGCAGATTGCAGAAAAAGACTGTTTCTAAACTGCTCAAGCAAAATAAAGTTTCAACACTGTGAGATGAATGCACACATCACAAAGAGGTTTCTCAGAAAGCTTCTTTCTAGTTTTTATGTGAAGATATTTACTTTTTCACCATAGGCCTTAAACCGCTAACAAATATCCTTCTGCAGATACTAAAAAAATACTGTTTCCAAACTGCTCCATCAAAAGAAAAGTTCACCTCTCTGAGATGAATGCACACATCACAAAGAAGTTTCTCAGAATTCTTCTGTCTAGGTTTTATGTGAAGATATTTCCATTTTCACCTTAGGCCACAAAGTGCTCCAAATATCCATTTGCAGATTATACAAAAAGACTGTTTCCAAACTGCTCAATCAAAAAAAATCTTCAACTCTGTGAGATGAAAGCACACATCACAAAGAAGTTTCTCAGAAATCTTCTGTCTAGTTTTTATCTCAAGATAATTCCTATTTCACCATAGGAATCAATGGGCTTACAAATATCCCATTACAGATTCTACAAAAGTTCTGTTTCCAAACTGCTCAATCAAAAGAAAGGTTCAACATTGTGAGATGAATGCACACATCACAAAGAAGTTTCTCAGAATGCTTCTGTCTAGTTCTTAAGTGAAGATATTTTCTTTTTCACCATAGTCTTTAAACAGCTCAAAAATATCCCTCTGCAGATACTACAAAAAGACTATTTCCAAACTGGTCCATCAAAAAATGTTTCAACTCTGTGAGATGAATGGACTCATCACAAAGAAGTTTCTCAGAATTCTTCTGTCTAGTTTTTATGTGAAGATATTTCCTTTTTCACCATAGGCCTCAAATCTCTCCAAATATCCATTTGCAGATTCTACAAAAAGAATGTTTCCAAACTGGTCAATCAAAAGAAAGGCTCAACTCTGTGAGACGAAAGCACACATCACAAAGAAGTTTCTCAGAAAGCTTCTGTCTACTTTTTATGTGAAGGTATTTCCTTTTGCACCATAGGCCTTAAACCGCTCACAAATATAACTCCACTTTCGCCAAATTGCTAAATCAAAAGAAAGTTTCAGCTCTGTGATATGAATGCACACATCACAAAGAAGTTTCTCAGAAAGCTTCTGTTTAGTGTTTATCTGAAGATATTTCCTTTTTCACCATAGGCCTCAAAGCACTCCGAATATGCATTTCCAGATTCTATAAAAAGTCTGTTTCCAAACTGCTCAATGAAAAGAAAGGTTCGACTCTGTGAGATGAAAGCACATATCACAAAGAAGTTTCTCAGAATGTTTCTTTCTAGTTTTTTTGTGAAGATATTTCTTTTTTCACTATAGGCCTCAAAGCACTCCAAATATCCATTTGCAGATTATACAAAAAGACTGTTTACAAACGGCTCAATCAAAAGAAAGTTTCAACTCTGTGAGATGAATGCACGCATTACAAAGTAGTTTCTCAGAAAGCTTCTGTTTAGTTGTTATGTGAAGATATTTCCTTTTTCACCATAGGCCTCAAAATGCTCCAATTATCCATTTGCAGATTATGCAAAGAGTGTTTCCAAACTTCTCAGTCAAAAGAAACACTCAACTCTTTGAGATGAAAGCACCCATTGAAAAGAAGTTTCTCAGAAAGCTTCTGTCTAGCTTTTATGTGAAGGTATTTCCTATATCACCAAAGGCCTCAATGGGCTCAGAAATATCCCTTTGGGGATTCTACAATAGGACTGTTTCCAAACTGCTCTAGCAAAAGAAAGCTTCAACTCTGTGAGTTGAATGCACCCATCACAAAAAAGTTTCTCAGAATGTTTCTGTGTAGTTTTTATGTGAAGATATTTCCTACTTCACCATAGGCCTCAAAGGGTTCACAATTATCCCTTTGTAGATTTTACAAAAAGACTGTTTCCAAATCTTCAATAAAAGAAATGTTCAACTGTGTGAGATGGATGCCAACGTCACAAAGAAGTTTCTCAGAATGTTTCCGTCTAATTTTTTGTGATGATATTTCCTTTTTTACCATAGGCCTCAAAGTGCTCCAAATATCCATTTGCAGATTCTACAAAAAGAGTGTTTCCAAACTGCCCAATCAAATGTTCAACTATGTGAGATGGAAGCACACATCTCAAATAAGTTTCTTAGAAACCTTCTGTCTAGTTTTTATGTGAAGATATTTCCTTTTTCACCATAGGCCTCAAACTGCTCGCAAACATCCCTCTACAGATACTACAAAAAGACTGTTTCCAAAGTGTTCAATCAAAAGAAAGGTATAACTCTGTGTGATAAATGCACACGTCACCAAGAAGTTTCTCAGAATGCTTCTATCTAGTTTTTATGTGAAGATATTTCCATTCTCACCAAGGCCTCAAAATGCTCCAAATATCCATTTGCAGATTCTACAAAAAGATGGTTTCCAAACTGGTCAATGAATAGAAAGGTTCAACTCTGTGAGATGAAAGCACACATCACAAAGAAGTTTCATAGAATGTTGCTTTCTAGTTTTTATGTGAAGATATTTCCTTTTTCACCATAGTTCTCAAAGCGCTCTAAATATCCATTTGCAGATTCTACAAAAAGTATGTTTCCAAACTGCTCAATCAAAAGAAAGTTTCATCTCTGTGAGATGAAATCACACATCACAAGGAAGTTTCTCAGAAATCTTCTGACTAGTTTTTATGTGAAGATATTTCCTAATTCACCATAGGCCCCAATGGGCTCACAAATATCCCTTTGCATATTCTACAAAAGGACTGCTTTGAAACTGCTCAATCATAAGAAAGGTTCAACTGCATGATATGAATGCATACATCACAAAGAAGTTTCTCAGAATGCTTCTGTGTAGTTTTTATGTGAAGATATTTCCTTTTTCACCATAGGCCTCAAAGCGCTCCAAATATCCAATTGCATATTCTACAAAAAGACTGTTTCCAAACTTCTCAATCAAAAGAGTGGTTCAACTCTGTGAGATGAATGCACATATCACAAAGAAGTTTCTCAGAATGCTTCTGTCTCGTTTTTAGGTGAAGATATTTCCTTTTTCACCATAGGCCTAAAGCCACTCACAAATATCCCTTTGCAGATTTTACAAGAACAGAGTTTCCAGACTCATCACAGAATAGAAACTTTTATCTCTCTGAGATGAGTGCACATCTTGCAAAACAGCTTCTCAGAAACATTCTTTATAGTTTTTATTGAAGATATTTCCTTTTTCACCATAGGCCTCATACAGCTGACAAATATCCCTTTGCAGATTCTACAAAAAGTCTGTTTACAAACTGCTCAATCAAAAGAATGGTTCAACTCTGTGAGATAAATGCACACATCACAAAGAGGTTTCTCAAAAATCTTCTGTCCAGTTTTTATGTAAAGATATTTCCTTTCTCACCATAGGCCTCAAAGCACTCATAAATATCCTTTTGCAGATTCTACAAATAGACAGTTTTCAAACTGCTCAGCAAAAAGACTGTTTCTACTCTGTGAGATGAATGCACACATGACAGGGAAGTTTCTCAGAGAACTTCTGTCTATTTATTATGTGAAGGTATTTCCTTTTTCACCAAAGGCCTCAAAGTGCTCACAAATATCTCCTTGCAGATTCTACAAGAACAGAGTATCCAAACTGATTAATCAAAAGAATGCTTCACATAAAATCCCTGGAAGAAAACCTAGGCAATACCATTCAGGACATAGGCATGAGCAAGGACTTCATGTCTAAAACACCGAAAGCAATGGCAACAAATGACAAAATTGACAAATGGGATCTAATTAAACTAAGGAGCTTCTGCACAGCAAAAGAAACCACCATCAGAGTGAACAGTCATCCTACAGAAAGGGAGGAAATTTTTGCAACCTACTCATCTGACAAAGGGTTAATATCCAGAATCTACAATGAACTCAGACAAATTTACAGGAAAAAAACAAACAACCCCGTCAAAAAGTGGTTGAAGGATATGAACAGACACTTCTCAAAAGAAGACATTTATGCAGCCAATGAACAAACGAAAAAATGCTCATCATCACTGGCTATCAGAGAAATACAAATCAAAACCACAACAAGATACCATCTCACACCAGTTAGTATGGCGATCATTAAAAAGTCAGGAAACAACAGGTGCTGGAGAGGATGTGAGAAATAGGAACACTTTTACACTGTTGGTGGGACTGTAAACTAGTTCAACCATTGTGGAAGTCAGTGTGGTGATTCCTCAGGGATCTAGAACTAGAAATATCACTTGACCCAGCCTTCCCATTACTGGGTATATACCTAAAGGATTATAATTCATGCTGCTATAAAGACACATGCACACGTATGTTTATAGTGGCACTATTCACAATAGCAAAGACTTGGAACCAACCTAAATGTCCAACAATGATAGACTGGATGAAGAAAATGTGGCACATATACATCATGGAATACTATGTAGCTATAAAAAATGATGAGTTCATGTCCTTTGTAGGGGCATGGATGAAGCTGGAAACTATCATTCTCAGCAAACTATCGCAAGGACAAAAAATCAAACAAATGTTCTCACTCATAGTTGGGAATTGATCAATGAGAACACATGGACACAGGAAGTGAAACATCACACACCACACACCAGGGACTGTAGTCGGGTGGGGGGAGGGTGAGGGATAGCATTAGGAGATATACTTAATGCTAAATGATGAGTTCATGGGTGCAGCACACAAACATGGCACATGTATACATATGTAACAAACCTGCACATTGTACATATGTTCCCTAAAACTTAAAGTATAATAATAATAAAAGTAAATAAATAAATAAACCCAGAGCTCCAAAAAAAAAAAAAAAAAAAAAGGAGAATGGTTCAACTCTATGAGATGAATGCACACATCACAAATAAGTCTCTCAGAAAGCTTCTGTCTACATTTTATATGAAGATATTTCCTTTTTCACCATAGGCCTCAAAGGGCTCACGAATATCCCTTTGCAGATTCTACAAGGAAAGAGTTTCCCATCTGCTCAATGAAAAGTAACATTTACCTCTGTGAGATGAATGCACACATTACAAGGCAGTTTCTCAGAAACCTTCTGTCTAGTTTTCATGTGAGGATATTTCCTTTTTCCCCATAGGCCTCAAAGTGCTCACAAATATCCCTTTGCTGATTCTACAAAAAGGCTGTTTCCAATATGCTCAATCAATAGAAAGGTTTAGCTCTGTGAGACGAATTCACACATCACAAAGCAGTTTCTCAGAAACCTTCTTTCTAGTTTTTATGTGAAGATATTTCCTTTTTCACCATAGGCTTCAAAGCGTTCACGAATATCCTTTTGCAGATTCTACAAAAAGATTGTTACCAAACTGCTCAATCAAAAGAATGGTTCAACTCTGTGAGATGAATGCATACATAACCAGGAAGTTTCTCAGAAACTTCTGTCAAGTTTTTATGCGATGATATTTCCTTTTTCACCATAGGCCTCAAACTGCTCACAAATATCCCTTTGCAGATTCTACAAGAAAACAGTTTCCCATCTGCTCAATGAAAAGAAACGTTTACCTCTTTGAGATGAATGCACACATTACAAAGCAGTTTCTCAGAAACCTTCTGTCTAGTTTTTATGTAAAGATATTTCCTTTTTCACCATAGGCCTCAAAGTGTTCACAAATATCCCTTGGCAGATTCTCCAAAAAGACTGTTTCCAAAATGCTCAATCAATAGAAAGGTTCAACTCTGTGAGATGAATTCACACATGACAAAGCAGTTTCTCAGAAACTTTCTTTCTAGTTTTTATGTGAAGATATTTCCTTTTTCACCATAGGCTTCAAAGTGCTCACAAATATCCCTTTGCATATTCTACAAAAAGACGGTTACCAAACTGCTCAATCAAAAGAATGGTTCAACTCTCTGAGACGAATACACACATCACAAAGCAGTTTCTCATAAACCTTCTTTCTAGTTTTTATGTGAAGATATTTCCTTTTTCACCATAGGCCTCAAAGTGCTCACAAATATCCCTCTGCAGATTCTACAAAAACACCATTTCCAAGCATTTCCATCAAAAGAATGGTTTAACTCTGTTAGATGAATGCACACGTCACAAAGTAGTTTCTCAGAATGTGTCTGTCTAGTTTTTATGTGAAGATATTTCCTTTCTTACCATAGGCCTGAAAGCACTCACAAATACCACTTTGCAGATTGCACAAGAACAGAGTTTCCAGACTGATCAAAGGAATGAAACGTTTAACTTGGTGAGATGAATGCAGACATCACAAAGCAGTTTCTCACAAACCTTCTTTATAGTTTTTATGTGAAGGTATTTCCTTTTTCACCATGGCCTCAAAGGGCTCACAAATATCCCTTTGCAGATTCTACAACAACAGAATTTCCAAACTGCCCATAATTAGTTTTTAGGACCAACATCAGCATTTAGACACACTGCTTGTGGTGCAGCACACATGTATTATCCACACTGAAATTAGGAATTCAACTGAAGTTCATGTAGAGCCGAAAATGTGAATATTTGGGGGACCTCGGAGATGATCTAGCTCACTTTATTTTGTAGAAAAGAAAACAGGTTCAGGGAAAGGGCATGCATTGCCTAAGGTGATTCAGCAGCTTTGGCACAGAAACACAACACATCTAAGGTGATTCATCAAGTTTGGAGCAGAAATGCAATACAATCTCTGTTCTTTTGCTTCTCAGATCCAGAATTTTTTCACAATACTGAACTACTTATGTTTCTGATTCCTTATTTTTCTTTCTAAATTTTGCCAGTATTGTCTAACGAAGATCCTATTCTTTACCCTAAATATTTAAATTCATTACCACTATTGTCTCTTTATAAGTAAAATTACTAGTTGCTATTATAAATGATTATTCAATCATTTTTCATTTTGGGGGTGTTCAGTACAAAGTTAGTAACAAATAAACACTATCGGCCTTGGCAATCCAAGAGGAGCTCAAGTCCTCCAGGGCACATCAGGAAAAGGCTAAATGACAGCTGTGCTGCAAGTGGACAGAATACAGCTCTCATACAGACTATTGAGTATTTGATGTTCTTCAACAATTTCATTAATCTTCAGTTTTTTTCCTCCTTGAAGTGAAAGTCTGCTATGACTTTCAAGTTTCTTTTGAAATAATTATAGATTCACAGGAAGTTGCAAAAGGTACAGGGATGTCTTAGGTACTCTTCACTAATTCCAGTGGTGACATCTCACATAGCCATAGAGCATTATCAAAACCTGGAAACTGACATAGGTACAATTCAGAAAGCTTACTCAGATCGCAACCGTTTTGCATGCATTCATTTTTGTATGTGTGTATGTGTGTGCGTTTGTTCTGTTCATTTTTATGTGGTGTAGATCTCTGTAACTACCACTTCGACAGTCAAGATGCAGAACAGTAGCCTCACCACCAGGCTCCAACTTGCGATCTTTGCTGACACTCTGACACGTTTTCCTCCACCCCTTCCCCTTGGCAATCCCATAGCCTGTTCTCCATCTTTACAATTTTATTTCAATAGTTTATATAAATGTAATTGTACAAAATCGTATTTTTAAAGGGAAAAAACAAGTCACAGATAGTTTTGTTAGCACTGTAAAATAGTCTTTAACATTCATTTGTTTTATGTTCTATTTGTCTCAAAAAAATGTGCTTTGTTCTTTCCCATACTTTCTGATATCAGGATAGGAAATCAATACCAAACAAAACATTTCCATTCATTTCTTTCCACGGCTTGGTTTTCACTGTTGTTGCCTAACATTTGTTGTTCCATTTACTCTTTTTCTCTGTTTTCCATCACATAAAAGTAACTTTGTGCTCTTTTTCTCTTCTAAGAAAACTTGGTAATGAGCCTTTAATGTGACGCCTGGACCATCCTTGTTTTGATTTTGTGTTATGGGTGTTCTTTTGTGTGATCGTTCTTATGGGGGAGTCCTTGTGAAGCTGGGCTTTTCCAGTGGTTTGTCAAAATGGAAATAGATATTTAACAAACCAAACACAAAATGACCTTGCTCCAGGAATGCATCATTTCTGAGAAAACACTACCTCTTCCAGCTAGAGATTGTGAATATTACTCATATTATCCTTTACTCCCTTTTATTAAAACTGTATTTTTTTTTACACATTTGTATACCTTGGGTAATGAAATGTGAAACTAAGTGATTGCCTACCAATTACAATTGATGTTAATGATGCTACTGGGAGGCCACCCCTACAGTCGCTGCGCCGAGTTTAGGGACTTGCTAGCTTTGCTAAGTTACATGGGATTGCCTACGTACTAAATGGAGGTGGGGGACGGGTCCGAGGAAGCGGCGGCGACGCCCTTCCCCGACGTGGAAGCTACAGACCGGGCCCCAGGCACCGCGCGGCCGAGAGTCGGAGGCGGGCGCGCGATGGCGGACGACACTGCAGCATCCAGCGAGTCACCGCCAGGGGCACGTGAACCCCAGGACCGCGGCCACTAGCGCTGCCAGACGGGCCGCGTGGCGGGCTTCCGGCCCCAGACACAACCGCGACGCGCGCCGGGTAGGCGGGGGGCGGGCGGGCTAGGAGGACTGTGCCTCGGAGGGGTGTTGGGGAGGAGGGGCGCTGGAGCGATGGTGGGCCGGTCGCCGGACCGCCACCAGGGGCGGCGGCGAACCGCGGCGACCGGGACGGGCTCCCCCACCCTCTCCCTGGCGGATCCTTCCTACTTGCCTTCCTCCCCCCGGCAACAAGCCCCCACTACCCACGACGATCGACAACGACGGCACGGGACCTTCCACCCCGCCAGGGCCAACGAACCCCGCACCACGAGCTGCGTGAGGCGCGAGGGAGCCTCCGAGGGAGGAATCTGGACCGCGGTGGTGGCCACGGGAACTCGGCCCCAGCCGGCTCTCTTCCCTCTCTGTTTTCGCGGGTGGCGGTGCCGCCCTCTCTCTCTTCCTCACAGCCGGGAGTCCCCCTTCCCCATGCCACCCAATGCGTGACCACACAGGGCCTGCGGGGGGAGGGAGAAGGGGCGGGCACGGCGGCAGAGGAGGGCGGACGTCGCCGGTCTGCACTTGGGGGGACGGAGGGCCCCGGCAGGCCACGTCAGGGAACCCCCAGCCATGCACCCCGAGGAGCCCGGAGGCACCCCCGGGGACTACTGATCGGCAAGCGACGCTCAGACAGGCAAAGCCCTGGGAGGAACCCGGGCTGCAATTGCGTTCGAAGTGTCGATGATCAATCTGTCCTGCAATTCACATTAGTTCTCACAGCTAGCTGCGTTCTTCATCGACACAGAAGCCCAGTGATCCACCGCTAAAAGTCATACAAGGTGGATTTGGCAAGGGCGCTCCCAACACCAGGAGGCCCTCCTGGCACAGCACGTCCGCCAGAGGGTTTCCCTCAGGCCCGCCAGTCAGACAGCAACGAGACCAGACTCCAGAGAGGGGTAGGAAGGTTTCACAACACAGGGAGGCGGTGTCGACCACGGGGGCGGAGGGCGAACACTGACAGCACCCCACGGGCGCCCGGGGATTCCCGCCCCCACAGCACGGTGCACAGGCCATACGCGCGGCAGGCGCGCGATGGCACGACGGCCGCCGGTAAAGCCCCCACCAGCGTCAGCGGCGACTTGAAAGTGAGGCGCGGCCCCGGCTGGCCGAGGGGATGGAGTCGGCGGGGGAGGCGAGGGAGGGGCGGGCCCCTCCCGAACGGACTCCCCCGCGGGCCCACCGCACCCGACCCATGGGCGGACGGACAACCCCCCAAGGGGTCCTTAAACCTCCGCGCCAGAACGCGCTAGGTACCTGGACGGCGGGGGCGGACGAGGAGGGGGCGACAGGCGTCCGGCCCCCTACCCTCGAGACGCCCTAGCGGGAAGGCTGGAGAGAGCAAGCGGGCCAGGCCGGGCCCGGTGGCGCGGTGTGGCAGAGGCAAGGATGGCGGCAGCGGCAGCAATGGGAACCCGGCCGGCCCCAACGGGAGCCGGCGGGATGGGGCCGAGCTGGTGGGACAGGGCGGGACGACGGCTCCGGCAGGGAGGGCACCGAGACCCCCACCCCGCCATGACGCCGAGAACCATCCCCGCGCCCGCCGACTCACATGTAGGGGCCACGGCAGGGGGGCGCTCCCCGATACTCACCAGGCTGGCGAGCCATCCAGCCTGCCCCACGACACGAACACAAGGTTTCGTCCCCGCACGCGTGTCTCTCTCTCCCCCCCTCTCCCTCCCGAGTTCTCCGGCTCTCAGGGCAGGCGGGGCCATGCAACAAACAAAGGGCACGACCCCGCCCGCGCACGCGCCACACGGGGAACAGGGTCTGCCAAGGAGGAAGGACGCGGCGGCGCCGCCGTGGCTTCGCCGCCGCGGCTTCGAGGCTCTTCTCCGTTAATGATCCCTCCACAGGTTCACCTACCGAAACTGTTACGAATTTTACTTCCTCTAGATAGTCAAGTTCGACTGTCTTCTCAGCGTTCCACCAGGGCAGTGGGCTGACCCGGCGGGGCTGATCAGAGGGCCTCACTAAACCATCCTATCAGTAGTAGAGGCGGGCAGTGTGTACATAGGGCAGGGACTTCAGGCAAGCTTATGACCCGCACTTACTGGAAATTCCTCCTTCATGGGGAATAATTGCAATCCCCCATCCCCATCACGAATGAGGTTCAACAGGTTACCCGCCTCTGCCACGTAGGGTAGGCACACGCTGAGCCAGTCAGTGTAGCGCGCGTGCAGTCCCGGACATCTAAGGGCATCACAGATCTGTTATTGCTCAATTTCGGGTGGCTGAAGGCCACTTGTCCCTCTAAGAAGTTGGGGGACGCCGACCGCTCGGGGGTCACGTAACTAGTTAGCATGCCAGAGTCTCGTTGGTTATTGGAATTAACCAGACAAATCACTCCACCAACTAAGGCCATGCACCACCACCCATGGAACAGAGAAACAGCTATCAATCTGTCAATCCTGTCCCTGTCCGGCCCGGGGGATTTTTCCCATGTTGAGTCAAATTAAGCCGCAGGCTCCACTCCTGGTGGTGCCCTTCCACCAATTCCTTTAAGTTTCAGCTTTGCAACCGTACTCCCCCCGGAACCTAAAAACCCAAAGACTTTGGTTTCTTGGAAGCTGCCCAGCGGGTCATGGGAATAACACCGCCACGTTGCCAGTCGGCATCGTTTATGGTCAGAACTACCACGGTATCTGATCGTCTTCGAACCTCCGACTTTCATTCTTGATTAATGAAAACATTCTTGGCAAATGCTTTCACTCTGGTCCAAACTGCGCCGGTCCAAGAATTTCACCTCTAGCGGTGCAATACAAATGCCCCCAGCTGTCCCTCTTAATCATGGCCTCAGTTCCATAAACCAACAAAATAGAACCGCGGTCCTATTCCATTATTCCTAGCTGCGGTATCCAGGCGGCTTGGACCTGCTTTGAACACTCTAATTTTTTCAAAGTAAACGCTTTGGGCCGCGGAACACTCAGCTAAGAGCATCGAGGGGGCGCCAAGAGGCAAGGGGCGGGGACGGGCAGTGGCTCGCCTCATGGCGGACTGCCCGCCCGCTCCCAAGATCCAACTAGGAGCTTTTTAACTGCAGCAACTTTAATATACGCTATTGGAGCTGGAATTACCGCGGCTGCTGGCACTAAACTTGCCCTCCAATGGATCTTCGTTAAAGGATTTAAAGTGGACTCATTCCAATTACAGGACCTCGAAAGAGTCCTGTATTGTTATGTTTCATCACTACCTCCTCGAGTCAGGAGTGGGTAATTTGCATGCCTGCTGCCTTCCTTGAATGTGGTAGCCATTTCTCAGGCTCCCTCTCCAGAATCGAACCCTGATTCTCCTTCACCCGTGGTCACCTTGGTAGGCACAGCGACTACCATCGAAAGTTGATAGGGCAGACGTTCGAATGGGTCGTTGCTGCCACAGGGGGGCATGCGATTGGCCCGAGGCTATCTAGAGTCACCAAAGCCGGTGGCACTCGACCCCTAGGCAGGGGCCGGAGAGGGGCTGACCGGGTTGGTTTTGATCTGATAAATGCAGGCATCTTCCCCGCGAAGGGGGTCAGCACCCTTCGGCATGCATTAGCTCTAGAATTACCACAGTTTTCCAAGTAGGAGAGGAGCGAGCGACCAAAAGAACCATAACTGATTTAATGAGCCATTCGCAGTTTCACTGTACCGGCCCTGCCTACTTAGACATGTATGGCATAATCTTTGAGACAAGCATATGGTACTGGTAGGATCAACCAAGTAGGTAGAAAGCGGCCTCCAGGCCTCGCGAGGATGAGCCCGGCGTCCCAGTCGCGAGGATGGGCGCGGCAGGGCGGGCGACCCGGCTTGTGGGAGGGAGGGAGCAGCGCGGGGCGGTGGGAGGGGGGTGGTGGGGCGGCGAACCGGACATCCCATACACCCACACTACAGAACACCCCCCGATGGGCTCACCACTCCCGAACCTTCGCGCCCACGTGCGAACAGGCAGACCGCCCGACCCGTGCACGGCAGCTGCGAGGGACCGGCGGCCACTCGGGCGTGGCGGGCGCGGGGCAGCCCAGACGTTTGGGCAGCGAACCAGAGGCGGACCGCGGTGCCCGGGATCTCACCGCCAGCGGCCTCCAAGCATGAAGGCGGCCCCGCGGCTCCCCCACCGCCTCCGCCATCGCGGCCAGCCCCCGGAACCCTCTTCCCTGCGCGCGCTGCACGCCGACCCCATACCCTCCGGGCTCTCACCAGGCCCATGCGGAGCGCCGCCGACCTGGTCCGGAAGGCGCGCGCCCGGGGACAGGGACAACCGGCCAACCAGTGGCCCGTGGCAGCGCCACACAAGGCGGAGCCGGGTTTGGTCCCAGAGGGGGCCACCACAGCCTAAGCTGGTGAGCCGCTCGGGGAGAGAGGATACGCGGGCGGGGAGGGGGGCACAGACAGGCAAGGCCAGGGACCGCAAGGGCAAGGGCACCCGGGAGCCCGCAGAGGGGCGGCTCGGGAAGAAACCTCAGGCAAAGCCGGGCCACCAGGAAAACACGGCCACGGGATCCCACCGCCACAGATACGAGGGAGGTCCCGCGGCGCCCCGCCTAGGAAGCCGGACGGCCCCTGGCACCCACCGAGACCCGCCTCACGAGCCTGGGTCCCGCCATCGGGACCCCGAAGCGACCTCAGCCACAAACCCAACGCCAGGGCCACGTTGCTGGTTTCTTGTCCATCCTCCGACACTGTCAAGCTCCGGGAGACCGGCGCGCCCCCCACTTGGGATGCTTCCCATGGCCAGGCATCCCAACCCCGTGCCACGCAAACGCGGTTGTCGGCACCGGTCGCTGCTCCTCAGGGGAGCGGGTGGAGAGCCGGCTCGCAGCGGAGCGGGTCACGCGCCGGACGGAACGCCTGGCACAGCCACCGCTCGCGCAGCCTCCCAACCGCTAGGACGCCGGCCCGGCCCGGCGGGATCCTCCCCCGACTCGGAAGGGGGAGGCGCGGGCCACACAGTAGGTGACGAGCCGCCCTCGGTCCCCACCGCGGAGGACTCTCTCAAGAGAGAGTCGGTAAGAGACTCATCATTCTCTCCCGAAAGCAGTGAGGTGGATGGTGGCTTGTGTTCCGAGCTCCTGTGGTTTCAGTTGGCCGCGCGTAGAAGAGAGATTTCCAATGTTTCCAGAGAGGCGCGAGCCACAGTCATTGAACCCAGGAAGTGGAGGTTGCAGTGAGCCAAGATTATGCCATTGCACACCAGCCTGGGCGACAGAGCGAGACGCCGTCTCAAGAAAAAAATAAAATAAATAAATAAATAAATAAATATCAAGAGAAAGTATAATTCTGAAGTCATAACTGTGGAAGCTTTTTTGTCAGATACGGTTATCTTTGGGGTTAATTATTATAGCAGTTGAGTTTTAACACTTGATTTGCTTTTAAATCTGAAGCATTATATTACTAAAACATTTTTTGATTTGTGAATATGTTGTTTAATGGATTATATCTCATTTTGCAGTAGTAGTTGCAGTGCCTGAAAGATTGCCAAAAAAAATAGTGCTAGCTTTTGCTGAAAAATGTAACAATCAACTTACCAATACTGCCTTCTCTTCCGATAGCTATGTTCTCCGTAATATTTTAAGAACTCAGTTTTTCATAAGACTTGTGTTGTTTTTGATTTTTTCCCAAGTCTGGTTGATCCTTGTGTTGTTCTTTTTTAAATGTGTATTGTCTGTTCAGCTATTCTGCAGGAGTTGCATTCTTAAAAACCTTAACCATATCAAAAATTGTGTTTAAAGGAGGATTATTGAGATTGGCAAGCTTTTACTAGGAGGAGTTTAAATGCTGACGTATTTAGGAAACTCTAAATACTGAGCAACTTTATTCTAACTACAAAATAGATAGCCTTTCTTTTGTTTTTCACTTTCACTATCATTAGCACTGTGTTAATATCTTTTCTTCATCTATAACACAATTATAACGATATATAAAGCCACTCAAATAAAGCAGATATATTGTGCTTAAAAAAAAAAAGAAAAAAAAAGAAGTCATTATGTGGCACACAATGAGGTGTGACTTGAATCTAGAATCTCCAGTGAAAACCAATGAAACAGGGTCAAACCCTGTGTCTACTAAAAATAAAAAAATGAGCCAGGCGTGGTGGCGCTGAGACAGGAGAATCACTGGAACTCAGGAGGCAGAGGTTGCAGTGAGCTGAGATCATGCCACTGCACTCCAGCTGGGGTGGGGGACAGAGCAAGACTCAATCTCAGAAACAAACACACGAAGCCAATAAAGTTGTTTCACTCAACGTGTCAGGCTCAGGTCTCTTGACAGGATACATCCGGCATCCGGGGAAACGTCGAGGGGTGGGGTGGAATCTATTTTGTGGCCTCAAGGGAGGTTTTGAGAGATAGTCTTGCAAACGTGATGGCCTAAGGAAGCCCCTCTGCCCAAGAAGCCATATTCATTTGTATCCTGTAGCCACCCACGAGGGAGAATCCG
This sequence comes from Homo sapiens, assembly GCF_000001405.40. Classification (NCBI taxonomy): domain Eukaryota; kingdom Metazoa; phylum Chordata; class Mammalia; order Primates; family Hominidae; genus Homo; species Homo sapiens. The sequence goes on along the minus strand of NC_000016.10, from coordinate 34,157,317 downwards.
GCTCTCTACAGACACCCCAACCCCCACCCCACCCCACCCCCTGCCTCGTGAAATGAGCTCTCGCTCCATCAGGCTCTATTCACACCGTCTGGTTTTGTAACCTCCAGCGTGTGTGCATGGGTTGCGGGGTGGGGTGGGGGCGGCTGTGGACAGAGAAGGGGATAAAGCGGCGGTGTCCCATGGGTGCCCGGGACGTGGGACATGAGTAGAGTGGCCAGAGCCTAGTTAACTCATCGCCTGTCAGGACGTCTCCCCTCCTGGTCCCCTCTCTGACCTACGCTCCACATCTTAGCAGTTCAGTGGGGACCTTGTGGGTGGAAGTTGCCAACCCTTTGTACTTTAGCCGACGAAGACTGGGCTCCCAAGAGTCTCCCCGGAGTCGGGGCCTTGGGCAGGTTCACAAGGATCCTGATGGCGACGGTTGGTGATGGTGATGTAAGTTGGAAGCCTCGGACCAAATCAGAGGTATCCATTTGACCTCGGTGGGACAGGTCAGCTTTGCGGAGTTCCGTGCGTCCTTCCAGAGATTCATCCAGCGCTAGCAAGCATGGTCCCGAGGATCCCAGCTCCCAGCAGAGGCAATTTTGTTCACACAGAATCCTGGGCAGGAAAGTTCTCAGCAGATTTAGGCCTCCTAGCCAAAAAGTCAAAGCCACTTCTGGGATTTTTTTTCAAAGAGCCAATGGTTCCACAATGGGCCATGGGTAGTTGTGGAAATGGAGAGACGTGTTTGCAGATACATATTTGAGACAGAACGGACAGGGCTCGGTCACAGTTCATGTAGGACACGAGCAGATGCACATTGAGAAAACCTTCCCAGCATCCTAGGTGAACAGAGGTATGATTTTTTGAGACAGTCGAGGGAGACGCAACCCCAGATTTTAGGGTTGGATCTTTATTAATATGTAGTATCTATGAGGAATCCAAGTCCAGAAATCAACTCGCCAGTTCTGTACAGCATTCTGTAGGGAGATCAAATCTGGGATGTCTAAAGTTAAGAATTCAGGCCGTGGTAATGGATTAGATTAGACGTACTTGAACTTATTTTGCAAAGAAAGAGAGGGTGGGAGATAGCGAGAGCCAGAGAGAAGGCGAGAGAGAGAGAGAGAGAGAGAGAGAGAGAGACAAAGACAGAGACAGAGAGAGACAGACAGAGAGACACAAAGATACACAAAGAGAGAAAGACAGAAAGAGAGAGAGAGACAGACAGATAAAGACACAGACAGAGAAAGACAGAGATGGACAGAGACAGAGAGAAACAGAAAGAGAGACAGACAGAGACAGACAGGCAGACAGTCAGAGAAAGAGAGTAAGACAGAAGGCAGACACACACACACACACAGAGAGACAGATGGACAGACAGAGAGAAAGAGAGAGACAGAGAGAGAGACAGACAGAGAGAAAGAGACAGAGAGAGAAAGAGACAGAGATAGACAGACAGAAACAGAGACAGAGAGAGAGAGAGAAACAGACAAGGAGAGAGAGAGACAGACAGGCAGAGAAAGACAGTAAGACAGAAGACAGACACAGAGAGAGACAGGCAGAGAGAGACAGACAGAGAGACAGAGACAGAGAAACAGACAGGCAAAGAGAAAGAGAGAAAAAAAACAGACACACAGGGAGAGAGAGACCTACAGACAGACAGGCAGAGAGAGAGACAGAGACAGCGAGACAGAGAAACAGAAATACAGACAGGCAGACAAAGAGACACACAGAGAAAGACAGAGATGGACAGAGAGAGACAGAGAGAAACAAAGAGAGAGAGACAGAGAGAGAGAGAGAGAGAGAGACCGGCAGAGAAAGAGAGTAAGACAGAAGACAGACACAGTGAGAGAGACAGGCAGAGAGAGAGACACACAGAGACAGGGAGACAGAGAGAAAGAAAGAGAGAGAGACAGAGAGACAGACAGAGAAAGACAGAGACGGACAGAGATAAACAGAAAGAGAGAGAGACAGAGACAGAGAGAAAGAGACAGAGAGAGAGAGACAGACAGGCGGAGAGAGAGACACACACACAGGCAGAGAAAGGGAGTAAGACAGAAGACAGACACAGTGAGAGAGACAGACAGAGAGAGAGAGAAATAGGCAGAGAGAGACAGAGAGAGAGAGAAGACGGAGAAAGAGAGACAGAGAGAGGAGGAGGAAGGGCGTGCTCAGGAAATAATTACACATATTTTATAACGCTTTTGATCCCATAAACGGTGGCCGAGGTGTGCTTTGAAAACAACAACAACAACAGCAACAAGAGCAGCAGCAGCAGCAAGAGCAGCAGCAGCATTCACTTACGGATTTCTAGAACATAAGATGTTCTGAAGAGTAGTAAACATCAACCGGCTCTCACTATACGTTCAGAGATTCACAAAATCGTTAGTAAACAACAGGAGAAAACCGCAGCTTACATGTCTTGGGGAAAATATACGTCTTCCTGAAAACTGGGGATTTCTACTTCATCTAAAAAGAAATACATAAGAAAAAGGAAAAACACGAACGAAACAAAACAAGCCAACAAACACGGGCCAAGGCACTGTCCCTGGAAATCTTAAGTGAGCAAAGTATTAGTTTTCAGAAAGCGTTTCTATTTTGGACAAATACTAAGAAGGCCCAGACTAGAGCTGTGACGTCATTCCTATTGTGAAACTATGCTGGCCGGAGGGCGGAGAAACTAAAACATCATGATAAAAGGTGATTGAAACCCAGCCGGGGTGAAGGTTTCCTAGGGAGGGAGGCCTGAGGAAGGAAGCGGGGTAAAAAACCCACAACTGCAGACCCGCCCGCTTGCCGACGCGGGTCAAGGGCTATGCCATCGGCCCAAGCTGCCTCTGGGGAAGTGGGACCGTGCCACCCCCATCTTCAAAAACGGTGGCCACTGAGTAAGGCCTGACGCCCACCGTTGCAAATGTCAGCCTGGCAAGAATGAGATCGCCGACAAGGGGTGGGGGAAGGGGAGAGAAGACGGAGGCACACCGGGTTGGCTCCGGAAGGTTTTCAAGCAGGGTGTTGGGAGGCGGGGGGTAGGGGGTTTGTGGGGAACCCACCTAACTGACTCACTAAACGAAGGTAAAGGGACGTGGGTAGTGGGGGGAGCCGGGGGGCGACTTGAAAATTAAACTGACCCCTCCTAAAACCCAAGTAGAAGAGTCTATGCGCATGAAAGAAACCAACACACAAAGAAAACTAAAGCGCTGATCAAAGAACGATAGGGCCCCCGCCAGGGCGGAGGTTCCCTAGGCAACGAGGGAGAGAGGGAGGGGCCTCCAGAAGGGAGAGGGAGAAATCGGTTGCCCCAGGCTCCGTGAAGTCGGCGAGACCTCCCTCCCGTGTCACCTCGACTTTCAATAACAGTGACCGCTAGGTGATGCCCGAAGACAACCGATGCCTGCAAGTGTCAGTCAGCAGGGAAAAGAATGTATGTATGTATGTATGTATGTATTTATTTATTTATTTATTTAGAGACAGAGTCTCACTCACTCTACAGCCGGGGCGGTAGTGCAGTGGCGTGATCTCGGCTCACTGCAGCCTCCGCCTCCCAGGTTCAAGTGATGCTCCCTCCTCAGCCTCTCGAGTAGCTGGCATTACAGGCGCCTGCCCCCCCGCGCCCGACTCAATTTAGTATTTTTAGTAGAGACGGGGTTTCGCCGTGTTGGCAAGGCTGGTCTCGAACTCCCAATCTCAGGTGATCCACCCGCCTCGGCCTCCCAAAGTGCTGGGATGACAGACGTGAGTCACCGAGCCTGGCCTTAACCGTGTATTTTTAAGTCAAGGAGCTGATCAGGGAAATATGAGAAGTAGGGACGCCACACGTAACAGAGAGAAAAGCTTGAAAATGCCCCTTCCATCCAAGTGGGGACCCGGCCTCGACCTCCCGAAATCATACGCCGAGTGGCGAAGCCTAGCAAGTCTCATCTGTCTAGATTCCTCTCGGCCTCTCTAAGCAGGCGCTTCTCACTTTCGTGGAAGGGGCAGGACCCTCCCCGGCACGGGGGGTCTGACAGACTGACAGAGAAAGAGACAGACATAGAAAGACAGAGATGGACAGAGAGAGACGGAGAGAAACAGACAGAAAGAGAGAGAGACAGAGACAGAGAGAGAGAGAGAAACAGACAGGGAGGGAGAGAGACAGAGAGAGAGAGACAGACAGAGACAGACAGAGAGAAACAAACAGAAAGAGAGAGAGACAGAAAAAGAGAGAGAAACAGACAGACACAAAGAGACAGAGAGAGACAGAAACAGAAAGAGAGAGAGACGGAGAGAGTGAGAGATAGAGAGAGAGAGAGAAACAGAAAGAGATGGGGAGAGAGAGACAGACAGGCAGAGAAAGAGAGTAAGACTGAAGACAGACACAGTGAGAGAGACAGGCAGAGGGAGAGAGAGACAGAGACAGAGAGAAAGAAAGAGAGAGATGGAGAAAAAGACAGAGACGGACAGAGAGAAATAGCGAGAGAGAGAGAGAGAGCGAGAGAGACAGAGTGAGAGAAACAGACAGGGAGGGAGAGAGACAGATAGAGAGAGAGAGACAGACAGGCAGAGAAAGAGAGTAAGACAGAAGATAGGCACAGAGAGAGAGAGAGAGAGAAAGAGAGAGAGAGAAAGAGAGAGAGAGAGAAAGAGAGAGAGAGACAGTCTGGGCGTGGTGGCTCACTCCTGTCATCCCAGCACTTTGGGAGGCCAAGGCGGGCGGATCACGAGGTCAGGAGATCGAGACCATCCTGGCTAACATGGTGAAATCCCGTCTCTACTAAAAATACGAAAAATTAGCCAGGCGTGGTGGTGGGCGCCTATAGTCCCAGCTACTCGGGAGGCTGAGGCAGGAGAATGGCGTGAACCTGGGAGGTGGAGCTTGCAGTGAGCCAAGATGGCGCCACTGCACTCCAGCCTGGGCGACACAGCGAGATTCCATCTGAAAAAAAAAAAAAAAAATAAGAAAGAGAGAGACAGACAGACAGAGGAAGAGACAGACAGAGACAGACAGAGAGAAACATACAAAGAGAGAGAGAGAGAAACAGAAAGGCAGGGAGGGAGAGAGAGAGAGACAGGCAGAGAAAGACAGTAAGACAGAAGACAGACACAGTGAGAGAGACAGGCAGAGAGAGACAGACAGAGGTAGAGAGAAAGAAAGAGAGACAGACATGGAGAGAGAGAGACAGAGAGAAACAGACAGAAAGAGAGACAGACAGAGAGTGAGAGAGAGAGAGAGACAGAAAGAGAGGGAGAGGGACAGACAGAGAGAGACAGACGGGTAGAGAAAGAGAGTAAGACAGAAATAGGCACAGACAGAGAGAGACAGCGAGAGAGACAGACAGAGAGACTCAGAAAAAGAAATAGAGAGACAGAGAAAAACAGAGAGAGACAGAGAGAAACAGAGACAGAGAGAGACAGAGAGAAACAGACAGAAAGAGAGAGACAGAGAGAGAGAAACAGAGAGGGAGGGAGAGAGAGAGAGACAGGCAGAGAAAGAGAGTTAGACAGAAGACAGACACCGTGAGACAGGCAGAGAGAGAGAGAAAGAAAGAGACAGACAGACAGGCAGACAGAGAAAGAGACAGATAAAGACAGAGATGGACAGACAGAGACAGAGAGAAACAGACAGAAAGAGAGAAAGTCCTAGCCCAGTAGCGATACAGTGCCTTCTCTTTCATTTTATCTTTCTTTTCTGGTCTTTTCTTTTCTTTTCTTTTCTTTTCTTTTCTTTTCTTTTCTTTTCTTTTTTTTCTTTTTTTTCTTTTTCTTTTCTTTTCTTTTTTCCTTTCTTCTTTTCTTTTCTCTTTCTTTCTTTCTTTCTTTCTTTCTTTCTTTCTTTCTTTCTTTCTTTCTTTCTTTCTTCCTTTCATTTATTTATTTGGAGACCAAGTCTCACTCTGTCGACCAAGCCTCACTCTGTCGACCAAGCTATAGTGCAGTGGAGCCATCCCGGGTCACTGAAACCTCTGCCTCCCAGGTTCAAGCTATTCTCCTGCCTCAACCTCCCGAGTAGCTGGGATTACAGGTGTCTGCCCCACCGCTCCCGACTCAGTTTTGTATTTTCAGTAGAGATTGAAAATACGAAACTGAGTCGGTTTCACCATGTTGGCTACGCTGGTCTTGAACTCCTGACCTCGTGACCCACCCACCGCGGCCTCCCAAAGTGCTGGGATGACAGACGTGGGCCACTGCCTTCAGTGTACAGTGCCATTTCTTAGAAATCACTCATGGGAACACACACTTATAGGTCATGTGTAGAGATTTTATTTATTTATTAATTTGCACGGGAAGGTGGGGGGACGGAGTTTCGTTCTTGCTGCCCAGGCTAGAGTGCAATGGCATAGGGGACTCAACGAGTCAACCTATGGCAGACAGGACACGTCATTCTGAGCATAAGGGTCGCAGCGAAAAGTGTCAGGGCCCGCGCTTTTAAAGGCTGAAATCCCCGCGGCTCAGGCCTGTCGTCCCAGCACTTGGAGGCCCAGGAGAGTGGATCACTTGAGGTCAGGAGTACAATACCAACGTGGCCAACATGGAGAAACCCCGTCTCTACTAAAAATAGAAAAATTAGCCGGCTATCGTCATGCGCGCCTGTAATCCCAGCTACCGAAGAAGAATCACTGGAACCCGGGAAGCAGAGGTTTCAGTGAGCCGAGAGAGCGCCACTGCACCGCAGCCTGGGTGAAAGAGCGAGAGAGACTCAGTCCAAAAAAAAGAAAAGAAGAAAAAAAAAGAACAGGCCCAAGTACTGCATTGTTGCTGAATGTTCCCCCGAAAGGCCAGAAACACCTTGACTCAGGTCAAGGAGGTGGTGTTTCGTTTCAGTTCTCTCTCTCTCTCTTTCCCTCTCTCCCTCTTTCTCTCCTTTTCTCTCTCTTTCTCCCCTAACTTTCATTTCTTGTTCAAACATACATGTGCAAGATCGTTACATAGGTAAACTTCTGACGGGGGTTCAGTGTGCAGATGATTTCATCACCCAGACACTCAGAGCAGTACTCGACAGTTTTCATGTTTTGTTTTGTTTTGGTTTCTCCTGAAGCTGTCTGTCCTTCCACCCCTCCTCCCTCAAGTAGGCTCCCGCGTCTCTCGTCCCCCTCGTTCTGCCCATGCAGAACTCTCATCTATAAGTTCCCACTTAGGGATGAGAACATGCGGTATTTAGCTGATTGTTGCTTTCATCTTCGGTGGTGGCGGTGAAAGAGGCAAGACACTAAATCGACCCTTAGGACGCTCCCCTCCGTCCCCACCACGCACTCCCTCCCCACACACACCTTCATTCCTGCACCCCCTCCTCAAACGCAGGAAAGGAAGAAAGACAGAAATTAAAGTAAGAGTTCAGCCTCCAAGGCAGTGGAGGTAGGGGATCTCAAAGGGTGAGCAAGCGATGGGGGTCGGGGGATGTCTTGGCTGAGCTTGCAACAATGGGGGACCGAGTTTCCAGCCCCACCACACCCCCTAATCCTCAGCCGCAGCCAGCCTCTGGGTGGGGTTGCGCATGTAAAATCTTCTGAATGGAGAGAAGCCCAAGGCAATGGAAGGCATCAGCTCCAACTCCAGGAAGGGAATAGGGCTTTGTGCATTTGAATGGGGCTTTAGAAGGCAGCGCTGCGGCTTCCAAAGCGATGCGCCTCGCCTCGCCTCGCCTCAACCAGAGTGAGACTCCGTCTCAAAATCAATCAATAATAAAAAATTTCATCAATAAATGAAAGAAGAGAGAAAGAAAGAAAGAAAGGAAGGAAGGAAGAAAGAAAGAAAGAAAGAAAGAAAGAAAGAAAGAAAGAGAAAGAAAGAAAGAAAGACTACAGCAGTCGTGGTCGTGAATCATTCCCCGGAGTCAAGCCTCAGTGGCTCAAGCCCTGCACGCCAGCACTTTGAGATGCCGGGTCAGGAAGGTTGCAACAAAATGATGAGACCCTCTCTGTGGAAAAACATTTAAAAATGAAGGCCAGGCGCAGTGGCTCACCCCTGCCATCCCAGCAATTTGGGAGGCCGAGGAGGGCGGATCACCTGAGGTCGGGAGTTCGAGACCAGCCTGACCAACATGGAGAAGCCCCTTCTCTACTAACAATACAAAATCAGCCAGACGTGGTGGCGCATGCCTGCAATCCCAGCTACTCAGGAGGCTGACGCAGGACAATAGCTTGAACCCGGGAGGCAGAGGTTGTGGTGGGCCAAGATTGCGCCATTGCACTCCAGTCTGGGCAACAAGAGCGAAACTCTGTCTCGGGGAAAAAAATAAATAAGTAAATAAAAATATCTGGGCACAATGGCACGTGCCTGTGGTCCCAGGTACTCTACTCTGGAGGCTGATGTGGAAGGATCGCTTGAGTCCAGAAGCGTCCACGCTGCAGTGAGTGAGTTATGATGGCACCACTGCCAGGGTGACAGAGTGAGACGTTGTCTCTAAATCAGTCAATCAATCAATCAGATCACTGGAAAGCGCTGTCTGTGTCTTACTTTCAAAGGGCGTCCCTTTAGGCCAAGCAGGCATGGTGCCTCACGCCAGTAATCCCAGCACTTTGGGAGGCCGAGGCGGGAGGAAAGAAGGAAGGGAGAAAGGGAGGAAAGAAGAAAGGCAGGAAGGCAGTGAGGCAGGAAAGAAAGAAAGAAAGAAAGAAAGAAAGAAAGAAAGAGAGAAAGAAAGAAATAATGGGAGAAGAAGAGAGAAGAAAAAAGAAGAAAAGAGAAGAAAAGAAAAGAAAGAAAACGGGGAGGGGCATATCTCCTTGACTGGTGACTGCCCAGGATACAGTGGGTCACAGCTGACTGAAGCCTTGACCTGTGGGGCCTCAAGTGATCTTCTCCTTATCTCAGCCTCACGAGTAGCTGCGACTACAGTCGGGTATCAGCACGCACAACTAATCTTATAATAATATTATGATTATTGAGAGAGTCTCGCTCTGTCTCAATAATTGCCATGGCATGATCTCAGCTCACTGCAACCTCAGCCTCCCTGGTTCAAGCAATCCGCCCACCTCAGTCTCCTAAGTAGTTGAGATTACAAGCCTAGGCCACCAGGCCTGGCTAATTTTTCATAGAGATGGGGTTTCGCCATGTTGGCCAGCCTGGTTTTGAACTCCTGGCCTCAAGCGATCCACCCGCCTTGGCCTCTCAAAGTGTTGGAATGACAGGTGTGAGCCACTGTGCCCGGCCCAGATAATCTTTTTAATAAATTGTAGAGAAGGGGTTTCGTCAGCCGCCGGGTGGAGGGTGGGGTGGGTTTTACTCAGACTGCATACTGTGAAAAGGGTAAATTAGTGTGGTTTGTGAACTAGATGTGGAAATTGTGTGTGTGTGTGTGTGTGTGTGTGTGTGTGAGAGAGAGACAGAGAGAGAGAGACCAATCCCACCATGAGGACCCGGAAATGGAGTTTGATTTGGGTCCCTGTCTAGTCACCTCTCTGTCTGTAGATGACTGAGGATTCCACAAATGAAGGTCAGCAGTATCTATTGAGATGTTTCTCCCTCTCATGCGTCTCATCTGTGTGGTGGAGAAAGGGAAGAAAAGAGGTTCTGATGGGAAGTTGTCTTCATGCCTGAGGAAGCTGAAGGCAGGCTGACGGGAAGGAGGGCATCCTATGTGACATTTCCATACCTGGGCACCCTTTACAATGCTGGGGCTGCCAGTCCACCCTGTACGTCAACCCACCCCCAAGAACAGCATGGTCCGGGGTGGTCCAGTCTCGTCCCATCCATCCGGCCCACCCGGGGCATCTGGTGGAAGTTTTTGCTGGAGGATTTGACACCTTGGAATACTATGCAGCCATAAAAAATGATGAGTTCATGTACTTTGTAGGGACATGGGTGAAACTGGAAACCATCATCCTCAGCAAACTATCACAAGGACAAAAGAACAAACACCACGTGTTCTCACTCATAGGTGGGAATTGAACAATGAGAACACATGGACACAGGAAGGGGAACTTCACACACCGGGGACTGTTGTGGGGTGGGGGGAGGGGGGAGGGATAGCATTAGGAGATATACCTAATGCTAAATGACGAGTTAATGGGTGCAGCACAACAACATGGCACATGTATACATATGTAACAAACCTGCACTTTGTGCACATGTACCCTAAAACTTAAACTATAATAATAATAAAATAAAACAAGAAAAAAAAAGAAAGCCTCAACGCGGCTCCCTTGGGGTCGCCGGGCGTAGCCCAGCCAGGGGAGGGTGGCGGGACGTGAAGGGGGCGGGGCATCGGCTTCAGAGCTCCTTGGAAGGTGGCAGGCAGCCGGTGGGGGACGCTGAGCCAGAGACGTCTGGCAGGATATAGATCTGGAAGCTGCGTCAGTCCTCTCCCATACTTCTCCCACGGAAAATCCCACAGCGGCGGTGGGAGCCTTGGCTGGTGGAGAAGCGGGGACAGGGGGGAGAGGGAAGGAGACCCTCGGGAGGATTTAGCACCGAAAACCCACCCAGCCAAGTTCCCTCCCACCTATCGGGTCCAAGGTACACCCTGGGAGGCGGCAAGAGAAACCTTCACCCCGTGCTTTTTGTCTTTCTCTTTATTTTTTTCATCTTTTCAATTTTACAAGAGATGCTCATTTCAACAACCAGGCGGTTGATGTGACGGAAGAAGTGTCAAGTCCAGGAGTTTGAGACCAGCCTGAGCAACTGAGCAACACAAGTAGGAGAGCCCAGCTGAAAAAAATGAAAAAAAGAAGGAGGAGGAGGAGGAAAGAAAAGAAAAGAAAAGAAAAGAAGAGAAAAAAGTTAAAATTATCCAATGGTGCAGGCACAAAAAAGAGTGATTTCACGTCTTTTCCCACAACATGGATAGAGCTGGAAGCAAGTATGTACCGAGTGAACTGCCTTCTGCTTACAAGTGGGAGGTAAATAATGGGTACGCGCACGGTCATCAAGATGGAAATAACAGACACTCCAAAAGGGAGGAGGAGGGTAAGAGGGGGAGGAGGAGGGTAAGAGGGGGACGAGGAATGAATAAATCGCCCGTCAGAGACAACGTTCGCCACGTGGGTAAGGCATACACTGGAGGTCCACTTCTGCATCCGGAAGCAGTAGTATGCTGATCTAACAAACAAGCACATACACCCCCTGAGTCTGTAAAATACCAAAACAACGACGACAGCACCAGCAGCAGCAGCAACAGCAGCAGCAGCACCAACAACAACAACAACAGAACAGAAGCTGGAACACAAAACCACCACCACCACCACCACAGTCGCCAGTCGGGGGTTGGGGGAGGGTGGCCGCGCTCGAGACCCTCAGGCACAGTCCCCTCGGGTTTAAAAAAGAAAACTGCAGACTCATTCCTGTCTGTAGGCAGGAAAAATCCAATCAAAGTTCTCCATTGCTAGAAAGGGAAGTAGAATAAGGAGAAGGGCTTATTGATCTTCTTGTGATCGATTGAGACCACACATGTAGGAAAAAATTAAATACAGACAGCAACACTTTCTACACTGTTCAAAAGCATTGGAGATCAGGCGCACCACACACCATGGGCCTTGAGCCACTAGAGAGAAAAGGCAGGCCAGGTGCGGTGGCTCACGCCTGTCATCCCAGCACTTTGGGAGGCCGAGGCGGGTAGATCACGAGGTCAGCAGATCGAGACCATCCTGGCTAACACGGTGAAACCCCGTCTCTACTAAAAATACAAAATATTAGCCAGGCCTGGTGTGGGCGCCTGTAGTACCAGCTACTCGGGAGTCTGAGGCAGGAGGATGGTGTGAACCCGGGAGGCGGAGATTGCAGCGAGCCGAGATAGCGCCACTGCACTCTGGTCTGGGCGAAAGAGCGAGACTCCGTCTCAAAAAAAAAAAAAAATATATATATATATATAGCCAGGCATAGTGCTGCATGCCTGTAGTCCCAGCTACTCAGGAGGCTGTGGTAGAACAATCACTTGACCCAGCAGTTTGAGGTTGCAGTGAGCTATGATCATGCCACTGCACTCTGGCCTGGGTGACAGAGCGAAACCCCATCTCAAAACAAAGAACAACCAAAAACCTACAAGCATACTCAGAGATAGTGTGGGTTTGGTTCCAGACAACCACAATAAGGAAAATGTTACAATCGAGTTAGTTGCATACACATTTTGTTTCCCAGTGCTTATAAAAGTTATGTTTAAATTATGTTGTAGTCTAATGAGTATTTAATAATTAATAATTAATTAATTAGTAATCGCATTATGTCTAAAAAACTATGTACATACCTTAACTTAAAATACCTCATTGCTGAAAAATACTAATGAATATCTGAGCCTCATCAAGTCATAATCTTTTTGCTGGTGAGTGAAGGGGTGGTCTGCCCCTCCACACTTGTGGGTATTTCTAGTGAGGTGGGACGAGAGACTGAGAAAACAAGTAAGACATAGAGACAAAGTATAGAGAAGCAACGGTAGGCCAAGGGGACCGCCGCTTAGCGTGCCAAGGACCTGCACCAGCACCGGCCTCTGAGTTCCCTTAGTTTTTATTGGTTATTGTTTTCATTATTTCGGCAAAAAGGAATGTAGTAGGAGAGCAGAGTGATAATAAGGAGAAGGTCAGCAAAAACATGTGAGCAAAAGAATCTATGTCATAATTAAGTTCAAGGGAAGGTACTATGATTGGACGTGCACGTAAGCCAGATTTATGTTTCTCTCCACCCAAACATCTCAGTGGAGTAAAGAATAACAAAGCAGCATTACTGCAAACATGTCTGGCCTCCCACCATAGGGCGGTTTTTCTCCTATCTCAGAATTGAAGAAATGTACAATCGGGTTTTATACTGAGACATTCAGTTCCCAGGGGCAGGCAGTAGACAGTGGCCTTCCTCTATCTCAACTGCAAGAGGCTTTCCTCTTTTACTAATCCACCTCAGCACAGACTCTGAATGGGTGTCGGGCTGGGGGACAGTCAGGTCTTTCTCATCCCATGAGGCCATATTTCAGACTCTCCTATGGGGAGAAACCTTGGACAATACCCCGCCTTCAAGGGCAGAGGCCCCTGCGGCTTTCTGCAGTGCATTATGCCCCTCATTTATTGAGATTAGAGAATGGCAATGACTTTTACCAAGTATACTGCTTGTAAACATTTTGTTAACAAGGCACATCCTGCACAGCCCTAGATCGCTTAAACCTTGATTTCATACAACACATGTTTTTGTGAGCTCCAGGTTGGGGCCAAGTGGCTGGGGCAAAGCTACAAATTAACAACATCTCAGCAAAGCAATTGTTAAAGTACAAGTCTTTCAAAATGGAGTCTCTTATGTTTTTTCCTTTCTATATAGACATAGTAACAGTCAGATCTCTCTTTCTTTTCTCTACAGTGAGGGTCTTGCCGCTATGTTGATGGCTGCTGACTGATCAGTGTGGGGGCTGCTGAAGGTTGGGTGCCTGTGTCAATTTCTTAAAACAATGAAGTTTGTTCCTTTCACAAAACATTTCCCTGTAGCATGTGATGCTGTTTGATAGCATTTTATCCACAGTAGAACTTCCTTCAAAATTGGAGTAAACCCTCTCAAACCCTGCTGCTGCTTTATCAACTAGGTTTATGGAATATTCTAAATCCTTTGTTGTTATTTCAACAAAGTTCATAGCATCTCCACCTGGAGTAGATTCCATCTCAAGAAAATATTTTCTTTGCTCATCCATAAGAAGAAACTCCCCACTTGTTCAAGTTTCATCATGAGTTTACAGCAATTTAATCTCGTCTTAAGGCCCTAATTCTAATTCTGGTTGTCTTGCGATTTCTACCACATCTGTAGGGACTTCCTCCACTGACATCCTGAGCCCTCAAAGTCTTCCATGAGGGCTGGAATCAACTTCTTCCAAACTCCTGTTAATGTTGATATTTCAACCTCCTCCCATCAATCACAAACGTCCTTAATGGCATTTGCTATTAAGGACATTTGTGATTCATGGGAGGAGGTTGAAATATCATGAAGGGATTAATGGTGAAACCTTTCCAAAAGGTATTCAATTCAGTTTATCCAGATTCATCAAAGAAATTACTATCTATGACAGCTATACCTTTATAAAATGCATTTATTAGTTAATATAAACACTTTAAAGTCAAAACCACTCCTTGATCCACAGGCTGAAGGATATATGTTGTATTAGCAATAGCAGTCATGAAAATAACATTAATTTCCAAGTACATCTCCATCTAAGCTTCTGGGTAGCTAGGTGAATTGTCAATAAGCAGCAATCTTTTTTCTTTTTTTCTTTTCTTTCCTTTTTTTTTCCTTTATGTAGTTTCCCTCTTGTTGCCGAGGCTGGAGGGCAGTGTCATGGTCTCGGCTCACTGCAACCTCTGCCTCCAGGGTTCAAACCATTCTTCTGCATCAGCCTCCCAAGTAGCTGAAATTACAGGTACCACCACCCTGGCCGGCTAATTTTTTTGTATTTTTATTAGAGACAGGGTTTCATCATTTTCACCAGGCTGGTCTCCAACTCCTGACCTCAGGCAATCCACCCACCTCAGCCTCCCAAAGTGCAAGGATTACAGAGGTGGAGGTGCCCGGTCTTCGGTTTCCCACGCTGCCCTGGCGACCTGGGGCTCCAGCCCCACCGCGGACTCCGGTGGGACGTGGGTGGCGCAAACACACCTTGCCCCTGTGACTCAGCTTGAGGGGGCCCAAGCTGTCCCACTGAGCATGCACCAAATAGGCCACCGTGCTGCAGGTCCTCTTCCTCCTGGCGTTTGTTAGGGTGTGGAGGCTACCGAGGAGTCTGAGGGTGGGACAGTCCTACTTCCAGAGGAGCCAGGACAGTGAACACAAAATCCCCGCGTGCAGGGGCAGGTTGAGAGATTCCTTCTGCCTGCGCAGCCTGGCTGGGCTGGAGAGGGGGAGAGGCCCTTGCTCCCTGGCTCACGAAAGCCCCATGTGGGAGAGCCCCAGGCATGCAGGGCGTGTGGGGTGCGGGAAGCCCGGTTCCCCACTCCCCGGTGTGAGCCACTGTGCCTGGCCAAGCAGCAATCCCTATAAAGGAATCGTTTTTGTTTTTTCTTTTTTTGTTTTTTTCTGAGCAGTAGGTCTCAATAGTGGGATTAAAATATTCAGTAAACCGTGCTCTTAACAAATGTGTTGTCACTCAGATTGTGATCTTCCATTTCTAGAGCACAGCAAGAATAGATTTTGCATAATTCTTAAGGGCCCTGAGATTTTCAGAGTGGTCAATGAGCATTGGCTGTAACTTAAAGTCACCAACTGCAGTGGTCCTCAAAGACAGACAGCCCTTCCTTTGAAGTTTTGAAGCCAAGTGTTGACGTCTCTCTAGCGATGAAAATTTTACATCTTCAGTAAGCTTAATCATTTCTAGCTCTGGACTTAAAGTGAGAGACATGCAATTCTTCCTTTCATTTGAGCTCTTTGAGGCCACTGTGGTTACTAATTAACACCCCGGGCGGGTGTCATCCTCCTCCCTCCTCAATCGAGTTCACCCACACCAGGGCTTGGGGAACTGGGCTTCCTGCACTCCATACGCCCTGCATGCCTGGGGCTCTCCCACATGGGGCTTTCGTGAGCCAGGGAGCAAGGGCCTTCCCCCCGCTCCAGCCCAGCCAGGCTGCGCAGGCAGAAGGAATCTCTCAACCTGCCCCTGCACGCAGGGATTTTGTGTTCGCTGCCCTGGCTCCTCTGGAAGTAGGACTGTCCCACCCTCAGACTCCTCGGTGGCCTCCGCACCCTAACAAATGCCAGGAGGAAGAGGACCCGCAGCACGGCGGCCTGCTGGGCGCGTGCTCAGTGGGACAGCTTGGGCCCCCTCAAGCTGAGTCACAGGGGCAAGGTGTGTTTGCACCACCCACGTCCCACCGGAGTCCACGGTGGGGCTGGAGCCCCGGGTCCCCAGGGCGGCGTGGGAAACCGAAGACCGGGCACCTCCACCTCTGAAGCTCGCGACCCCGGAGGCCTCCGCGTCAAGCACATATGCAAGCCATCCAGGCACCTCCCAACCGCTCCAGGAGTCGGGGCGCTTGTCTACACACACCCCCAGACTGTTAGATGAGCTCCTGCCAACCCCAGAGTTTCAGAAAAAGGCACAATCTTTCCTAGATCCGGCGCCACTGGGGAAGCTGAAGGAGGTGGAAGAGCCCGCTCCGTTGGAACCACTCCTCAGCCAGGAAGAACACCGGGCTCTGCTGGAGGAGCTTTAGGACACGGGGTTGGGGCGGGGTGGGGGCAGGGCGGCGGCCTCTCTTTCGCGGTGAACCTCTGACTCGGTATGGAGAGGCGTGTCTTCCCTTCCAGCTGATCTGCCTAGGATCCCTGAGTTCCAGGTCCCGTGAGAGACTCCACTCAGAGGAGGGGTATCATTCTTTCCTGAGCATCCCGGGGATCCCAGGGCCGGTCCAGGTACTGGGAGGCGGACTGTCTACTGCTCATGCGCGGGTTAGCAGGCAGTAGCCTAGGTTTTCTAACTAGTCTAGGAGGAGTTCTCATCCCTTCCCTCTTGCCCCCTGCCGCGTTCTTCTTTGGGGCGGGCGGAGACCTACATCCCGGGAAACACTGGCCCGGGCAGACGCCAGGCCTGCTCTTCTTTCTGCGTCTCGCCCCCTCTGCCTCCCCGCCCCACCGTCACTCGCCTACTCTTGCCACGCCAGCTTCCTCGGCATCGCCGTGGAGCGCCTGACAGCTAAATGCAGACCCGAGACCCCGTGCAAGCCGGAGTACTGCCCTTTCTACGCAGGAGGGAACTCAGGCAGAGATGGGGAGAGGAACGGAGACAGAGAGGGAGGGAGCGATGGAGGGAGAAAATAACGGATGGACCGTGGGACCTTGGAAAGGATGGAGGGATAGAAGGAGGGAGAGAGGGAAGGAGGGAGGGAGGGAGGAAGGGAGGAACTGAGGGAGGGACGGAGGGAAAGAGGGTGGGAGGGAGCAAGAAACAGAGAGAGGAAGGCAGAGAGAAAAGCAGTCTTCTGCCTCCAGGACCAGCAGGATCTCCCACTCCGGGAAAATGTTGGGTGCCCAGTGCAGGCTGAGTGCTCTGCCCACAGCCGCGTCGGCCTGCGGCGCTCTCACCGGCCCTCCGGATCGCCAGCCTGGGTTGCTTCATCCGGGAGCGATTCAGACGAATTTCGTCTCCCAAGGAATGAGCGAATTGCCCAGAGAGCAATGAGCCGAGACTCGGGTGATTGTCCATTTTTCATCCACATGGTTCACAGATGAGATAGCCCCACGTTGAGCCTGCAACGGAGCGCGAGGTGGATAGTCCCGTCCACACAGGAGTCACATTCAGGCCGACTGAAGCGTGGTTTCGGGTTCCACGTTCCTTTGCCTTCTGCAAGGGGGCCTGTTGCTCATGCGTCTCTGGCCCCCGAAAGCGTGGCCCTGTTGACTGTTTGTTTCCCGAGCTCTGTGGGGACACAGAAACCTCCAGAGAAGTGTGGAAAAGCAGCTTCGTGTATTCGCTCTCCTTTCCAGTTTCCTGTTTGGAAACAGGCCATAGTGGAGACTTCCCATGTCGCAGGAAACAGGAATCCATCCTCAGGACGTGATGCACCAGGCGTTTGTTTTCTCTGTAGTTTCTCTCTCATTTTCTACATGAAAATGAATGAGATCCGTAAGGAATCAGAAAAGGGAGAATCAGAAATAGTACACAAGTCTTGACTACTGTTACATTCCACTTTGAAATCACTCTGAGGTGAAACAACAATTTTCCAAGATTTAAAGAAAAATAGATTTTATAAAAAGGATTCTTTTATTCACCCGATACATCATTTATGTTACTGACAGTAACAAGTGGTATTTTTTCCACCATAATTTGCTCTGATGAAATAAATAATTCTTTTAATTCCTAACAAATGCTACATTTTCAAGACTAAAGGAATTATCAGTAGGCATTCTTTCTTTTTGATCTAAGTTATTTGTCTCTAAAATATGTCAAGTAAGCTTTTAAAGATTCAGGGAGGGGCAGCTTCATGATTTTTTCTGTCAGTAAATATTGAGGTGGCTCCTCTGGCTTCATCGCTTCACTGTGATCTTTTTCTTCCTCTTCTTTGTTATCTTCTTCCATTTCTTCATCCTCCTCACTGTCTAGAGGCTGAAGAATAAGCTGATTACACACACATACGTAAATGGTAATTCTCTGTTTAACTCTCTTTCTTTTCCTTTTGGGTGGAGCCCTTTGAGGAATCCCCTTGGCCTGCATCTCATCATTTATGAAATTTCTAAGTGTGCGTCGAATGTAAATAAGAGCCAAGTCCTGTAGATTCCTGACAGTGATTCCTTACAGATTTGTAGTGGTGAGGGTTAGATTTAGTTTTATGTAAGGTTTAAGTAATTGTTAAGCTTATGTAACCTGATCTGAATTTGCACTTCCTCTATGAAAACTTCATTTATCTAATAAGGAAATCAAATGCTTTGTAGACCTGTTTACCTTACTTTTGTTGCAATCACTGTTGCTGGGTTGCTGTATATATATTCTGGGCAATATATGAGTGCAATAACAATACAAAATATTGAATAATTTAGCTTTTAAAAATCCCACAAATTTTATGAAATTTTACAGCCCTGCTACTTTTGCTTTTGAATCCCTTGCCAAAAGACATGAGTAAAATATCTGCTTCTCTCAGAGAGATTTTAAGAGCACAGCAATTGAATTATTAAAATAGGAACTGTGTACTTAATACAACCCTTTATATGGACCCTTTACATTTTCAGTATTTTAAAAAATGAGGTTACCTTAACTCTCTAGAATTTTAAAAGTATATTTAGAATTGTTTTTTCTGTAGTTCACTGTATAGAGTATTTGGTTTTTTTAAAAAAGCAAAACCATTGTTATGTGTGACTCTTGATAGGCCACAGAACGAGTGAATGAGCATGAGTGAGGCCACTTTCTTAGATGGCTGTAAGTGCAGGGCCATGGTAGACCTGGTCAGCCGATGCACTTTAGCAGATGGAACTTCTAGTTTATCTGAATATTTATCTTTGACAAGGTAGGGCTGAGCCTACATTTGCTTTGGATCTTTCTAGTACAAGAAATATTCACAGAAATTTTATGTAGATACCCTTTGTTTGGAAAATCCTGTTCAGAATCATAGTGTAACTTTGGGACTTATGCCATGCTCATTTGACTTCTTCCCATATTTTTTATGTTTCTTTTGGTAAAACTATAATGGTTTTCATTTTTTACTTAATATCACACAATTAAACTCTCATATTTGAGTTTTATTGTAGCTTATCAGTGATAAAAAACAGATAGTAACTGCCATTGTTTGTTTCTTTGTTTTCCTAATAAGGCCTGAAAACAGCCAATCCTTGTTAAGAAAGTGTGCAATGTAACATATTTGCTAGAATTACATGCATTATATATTTCTTAAAGGGAAAAATTTGAGAGTATCATGGATTACCACCAGCATTATTATTACAGTAGTTGCTCAGATTTGGTTAAGGAAGCCCAATCAATGTATAGTGAAAGTATTTTTAGCTCTCTGCTAAGATTCAGATATTGTTTCAAAAATCTCAGCTCCAATAATTCCACAACATCTAAAAATAAGTGTTTGTGATCATGTGTAAGCATGAAATTGTTCCAAGTAAGTGAGGATATTTTAGTTATGTGAAAGACAGTATCAATGGAAGGTTATTTGTTTTATACCAGTGGCTGGGATGGTGGAATTGGGGTTATTTCTACAGTTAATTCTTAGATGATTACTAAACTGTTAAGCAATGCCCTATATCATTTGTATCTATGAAAGAAAAAAATCAGTATCATACTGCTGTCATCTGTCAGAAATGTTCATTTTATTTTGAATTAAATGTGGCTTTTGAAGTTACCTTGAATTCCTGGTGACCACATGTTTTTGTCTAGAAAACCTGGGGAAAGTTATCTGTCCCATCTCCCCTGCTTTTTTTTTTTTTTTTTTTTTTTTTTCTCGGTTGGAGCTGCTGTTTAGATTATGCTTTTACTATGTAGGAGAGAGTTTTTGTTAAGGATATATTTGAAGATTGGCTTTTCCATATTGTCTTTCATTCTTTGACCTTGGCAAAGTGTACAGTAGATTTTCATGATCATTGCATATTTCTTGTCATTGAAATGTATCTTTTATGTTTTTAAATGCATTCATTTTACACTTGTGACTTTATCATTGACTTTAAGAGGTAGAAATAAAAAATAAAAATAAAAATAAAAAAATGAATGAGATCCACACACCTGCGTGTGTGAGACTATCACGGCAACGGCGACACCCACAGGCATTGCCGCCTTCACGGAGAGGGCCTGGAAAACTCAAGACTGTCATGGAGGTTCAGTTCCACACTCCACCCTTCCAGGGTGGTTTCTCCCTGAAATCGTATGTGAGCCCAGAGAGAAATTTCCAGTTTCCGTAGAATTCTGGAGAACTCAGAGAGCCAGCCCCAAAAGCCCCCCTTTCCTGGCCGATCTGGCCCCACCTTCGCCTACCACACAAGGCCCTGTGTCTGTGGTTTCTGGCTTCGGAGGGTGGGTTACCCAGGGCCCTTGGGTGCTCATGCATATTCATGAAGGGGTGAAGCTGGTGGGTTTTTATAAGGGCCACTGGCGTGCGTGCAGCACAGAGGCCAACTGAGGCCCACGGGAGCCGCCGGCCTCTCTCTGCCCGTGTGTGTCCGTGAAATTCCAGCGAGGTGCCCTCGCGATGGCTCTCCCACCCCCTTCTGACAGCCCCTTCCCCGCGGAAGCCCGAGGACGAGGAGGGCGAAGGAGACTGGTTTGTAACGTGAACGAAAATGATTCCCTGCTAGCGTGCTTTGAGCGGAACCCGTACCCGAACAGGCCAGAGAGACCTGCCTTTTGGAGTCCAGGATTCAGATTTCGTGTCAGAATCGAAGGTCCAGGCATCCAGGCCAGGGTGGCAGGGAACCCGCGCACGCAGGCGGCCTGTGCAACGCGGCCGACCGCGGGTGCCACCCTCCCTCCTTGGGCGCCTTCACCCACGCCAGGGCGCGGGGAACAGGGGGCTTTCGTGAGCCAGACAGCAAGGGTGGCCCCTCTGCTGCAGCCCAGCCAGGCTTCGCAGGCAGAAAGAATCTCCCGACCTGCCGCGGCACTTGGGGATTTTGCGTTTGCTGCCCTGGCTCTTTCGGAAGTGGCGCTGTCCCACCCTCAGAACCTGGGTGACCTCCGCACCCGAACAGACCAGGGGACCAGGACCCGCAGTACGGTGGCTTTCTTGGGTGCTGTGCTCAATGGGACAGTTTGGGCCGCTCAGGCTGAGTCAAACAGATGGCAGGGGGACCAGGACTCGCAGCACGGCGGCCTTCTGGGTGCGTGCTCAGTGGGACAACTTGAGCCGCTCAGACTGAGTCACAGGGGCAAGTTGTGCTTGCGCCACACACGTCCCACATGAGTCCGTATTGGGGCTGGGGCCAGGGTCCCCAGGTCGCCAGGGCGCATGGGAACGTGAAGCCGAGGCACATCTACCTCCGCAGCTCGCGCCCATGGAGGCCTCTGCGTGTCAGAAGCTGATGTAAGCCATCCAGACACCCTCCCAACCGCTCCAGGAGTTGGAGCTTTCATCTGCACTCGCATCCACCCTGTTATATGAGCTCCTGTCGACCCCAGAATTTCAGCAAAAGGCACAACCTTTCCAAGCAACGGAGCCACTGGGGTAGTTGAAGGACGTGGAAGAGCCGGCTTTTTTGGAACCACTCCTCAGCCAGGAAGAACACCAGGCTCTGCAGGAGGAGCTTTAGGACGCGGGGTTGGGACTGGGTGGGGGCAGGGCGGTGGCCCCTCTTTCGCGGTGAACCTCTGGCTCGGTATGGAGACCTATGTCTTCCCTTCCAGCTGACCTGTCTAGGATCACTGAGTCCAGGTCCAGCGAGAGACTCCACAGAAAGGAGGGCTGTCATTCTTTCCTCAGCATCCCAAGGATTTCCGAGCCTGCCCAGGTACTCAGAGATGGACTGCCTACTGAGCATGCGCGGGTGTGCGGGCAGCCGGCTAGTGTTTGGGACCAGCCCGGGCAGGGCTCTCATCCCTTCCCCCGCCCCCCCACACCGTACACCTCCCCCCCGCCCCCGCGTTCTTCAGTGGTGTAGGGGGAGACCTCCACCCCGGGAAACACAGGCCCGGGCAATGGCCAGGCCTGCTCTCCTTTCCGCAGCTCAACTTCACTACCTCCCCTCTCCACCCTCCCTCGCCCACCCGTGCCCCGCCACATCACTTGGAGCGCCCGGCAA
This sequence comes from Homo sapiens, assembly GCF_000001405.40. Classification (NCBI taxonomy): domain Eukaryota; kingdom Metazoa; phylum Chordata; class Mammalia; order Primates; family Hominidae; genus Homo; species Homo sapiens. The sequence goes on along the minus strand of NC_000016.10, from coordinate 34,135,246 downwards.
CTAAATGTAGACCCCGAGATCTTGCGCAAACCATGGTTCTGCCCTTTCTAGGCGGGAGGAAAGCCAGGCAGAGATGGGGAAAGGAACGGAGAAAAAGTGAGAGGTTGGGACAGAGGGAGGAAAGGACGGATGAAAGGAGAGACCTTGGAAGAGATGGAGGGAGGGAGAGAGGGAAAGAAAAAGAGAGGAAGGGAGGGAGGGAAGGAGGGAGAAAGGGAGGTATGGATGGAGGGAGAGAGGGAAGGACAGAAGAACAGAGGAAAGGAGGGAGAGAGGGAGGGAGGGAGAGAGGGAGAGAAGGAAGAACAGAGGGAAGGATGGACAGAGGGAGAAAAGGAGCAAGAAACAGAGAAAGGAAGGCAAAAAGAGAAAAGCGGTCTTCTGCCACCAGGACCAGCAGGACCTCGAACTCCGGGAAAATCTTGGGTGCCCAGTGCAGTCTGTGTGCTCGGCCCACGGCCGCATCGGCCGGCGGTGTGCTCACCCGCCCTCGGGATCTCCAGCCTGGGTTACTTCACCCGGGAGCGATTCAGACGAATTCCGCCTCCCAAGGAATGAGCGAATTCCCCAAAGAGCAGAGCCGAGACTCGAATTGTTGTCCGTTTTTCATCCACATGGTTCACAGATGACATGTGAGCCTCCCCACGCTGAGCCTACAACAGAGCGCGAGGCAGATACTCCCATCCACACAGGAGTCACACTCAAGCCGAGTGAACCATGATTCCGGATTCCACGTTCCTTTGCCTTCTGCAAGGGGGCCTGTTGCTCACGTGTCTCTGGACCCCGAAAGCGTTACCATGTTGACTGTTTGTTTCCCGAGCTCTGTGGGGACACAGAAACCTCCAGTGAAGCTTGGAAAAGCAGCATCGTGTCTTCGCTCTCCTTTCGTTTCCAAACAGGCCATTTTGGAGACTCCCCATGTTGCAGGAAACAGGAATCCGTCGTCAGGCCGTAATGCCTCAGTCCCCTGCCCAGGCTCAAGGCCCATCAGGCGGCCTCTCTTTCACTCACATTCCAGGCCTTCCCCCAGCTCGCGAGCTCCCGAGCTTCCAATATATCGGGCTGGCTCAGGACAGGGTGTGCTCCGAGGCGTCAGGGCCCGGGGCCCACAGTCCTGGGATCACCTCTGGTCCTCCGCCTTGCCACGGAAAAATTGTTTTGGATCCCTCGCCGCCCTTCTTGCAAGGCCCCCTCTTGCCCCACACACAGAGAACAGCCGCCAGGGCTGCCCAGGGGCGAACAGCCGGCCCAGCCCCACGGGGCCTTTTTCTCACAACGCCCACACCATCGTCGCTTCTTCCAACGAAGACCCGCCAGTGGCCAACAGGACAGGAAGGCCCTACTTTGCCCCGCGCTGGCACTAGAGCCCCAGCAGCCTGATCCCGGGAAAGAGGGGCTGACAGACACCCAGACACACCACACCACCACCACGAGCAAACCCACACAGACACACACACAGATACACACGGGTGCACGCGCACAGGCACACACGCACACACAGGGACACACACAACACACAGACACACACACATGGACACACAAAGACTCACACACAGACACATGGACACACGCACACGGACACACACTGAAACACACACAAGGACATACAGACAAAGACACAGACACAGCTTGAAAGAGAGCTAGGGAGACCGGGATGGAGAGATAGAAATGGGGGGAGAGAGAGAAAGTTGCAGGGGGAGAGAGACAGAAGGTAACAGAAGAGTGAGAGGTGGAGGGTGAAGTAGAGAAAGGGAGAGGGTGAGGGAGTTGCAGAGCAAGAGAGACAGAACCTTGGAGAGGGAGGCTCTGCTCAGGTAGACAGAGCACTTTGAGCAGGCTGGGGTGAGGTGGAGGGTGCTTAGGCCAGGCTAGAACAGGGGGTCAGGGCCGCCCACGCGGGAAAGCCAGCGGAGCCCTGAGACGTGTTTTTTTTTTTTCTTGGATTGGTTGGTTGCTTTGGGGGTGCGTTTCATAGGGTCCTTCCTTTGTTTGCTTTTTTCTGTCTCCTTGGTGCTGTGGGCCCCGAGATTTGTAGAGTGCACCCATCCGTCTGGTGGAAGCCGTGGCACAGAGCGTGTCCACGGGGCCAGGTCTGTGTATCTCTCGTGTCCTCGGGACTACAGTTTACACGAAGTCGGTGGCAATGGGAAACAAGGTGCACAGGGACGGATTTCTTCGTGGCTGGCGAAGACAATATCCTTCCCCCGGGGAAAGCATCCCATGGTTTCTGGAGCGGAGGTCTTGGCTGGCAACTGTGGGACCTGCTGCTCCAACTTGGATGGTTGCGGCGGCAATTGATGAATGAATTGAAATGCCTGTGGTCCGGGGAGTGGGAAGACACCCTGAAGGGCAGGAAACCCGCGCCTGCGCCTTCCGGGTCTAGTACGTGCCGCAGCGCCCCGGCTGGAGCCGGGCTCCTGGTGGGGCTGCAGCCAGGCGAAAGAGGTGGGATGCTGTGGCCTGGCAGTATTGCAGTTGTGGATCCCCACGAGGAAGTTTCATCTCGACATAAATCTTTTTCTTTCCTCAGCTGATCTGTATCCTTAATTTTAGATTAGTGGTAACTCCACAAATTTAGAGGCACAAAATATGGTTGCCCATAGCTTATAATCGCATTACCCCCTCCCATTACCACCACCTTTCCCCTCCTCCCCACCCTCAACCTGTACACTAGGTCTCGCCATGTTGCCCAGGCTGACCTCAAACTCCTGGGCTTAAGTGATTTGCCTGCCTTGGCCTCTCAAAGTGCTGGGATCAGCGGTGTGAGTCACCATGCCCAGCCAACCACCACCAAGTTTTGTTTCACCAACACTGGGTCATGGAGCTAAGGACCCACAAATTTAGAAAAGTTTTTAAATATCATAACGTTTCTGTGAGGAAATAGTATTTGGTATTACATTTTTAGACTCTTTTATAATGTTCTGTTTTTTTCCACTGAACACAGTACTAAGTAGTAATTGGAAAATCACAGCATAAGTCATATTACTTTTTCTAATACAGAGTCCTCAGCTGCTCTCTAAGCTAAACCTGATCACCTACATTGAGAAAAAAAAAAAAAAAACCCAGAGTGTGAGGAGACAGGAGATAGTAGCCAAACATCCAAATAGGTGGGAGTGAATAAGGCAGATGACACAGACGAGATGTCCAAAGGTCAAGGAGAAAGCCAGATCTTAAAGTGTGGTTTGCGAAGCTAAACTCCAATGGCAACCTTTTCTGCAAAGCCCTGATTTCTTTCTCTTGCTTTCATTAGAGACTGACATCCTCTGCCCCATGCTTTTCAATTTTCTAGGACTGGACTTCCCCTTCAATGATCATTCTTCTAGGTTACAAAGAAGATCAAAGCCCTTTGCATGGCTTACAAGGGACTGGAGGACCTGGCTGCTTGCTCTTTCATTCCTTTTGAGGACATGGGGCCGTCTGTGATTTTTAAGGAACTCTATGTTAAACATTTTCTAATTTCCATTTTGAGTCTTGTCTAAAATGTGTGAGAGTAGTGGAGATATTGGGATTTGGTTTAGAAATCCCAGAAACACCACATCCAGATGTCTTATGTTTTCTGCTTTATAATTTCATATCCTGTGAAGGTTTCAAATGTGATTCTACAGAAATTCATACTCAATAATTTTATCAGAACACTAAGCATCTGCCCCATATAGTAAAACCTAATGTTATTTTACTTCAAAATTTTAAGTTTTTGGTATGTATTGAGGCTAATATTGTAAACACTCTGTGCCATAATTCCTAAACTGTAATATGGTTTAAAGTATCTACTTTCTTCATTTAAAACATGTACTTTGCCATTGAGGAAGTCAGAATATTGCTGAGCATGTATTAAATACCCATTTGTTTCCTGTTTTTTAACTAGTTATCATTTTATAATTTTCTCTTGTTTAGTTTGAAGCTTACTAGGATTTTTTCATTGATATGTATGCATATATATATACACACACACAAGTATATACATAACAACATATGTAATTGATATATATGTATAAGCTTTATATATGTGTATATACACACTTATGTGAATATATGCATGTGTACATAACATTAATTTTCTGACCAATAAAAATTGCATAATTATGTATAGTGTACATTATAAAAATTTGATATGTATATATATTGTAAGATGTTTAATACAATTAAGGTGATGAACATTTATGTCACCTCACATGGTTATGTTTTTTGTAGTGAGAGAATTTGAGGTATCCTACTGTTGCAGCAAATTTTAAGCATAGAAAACACTGTTATTAACTACATCTTAAAGCTATACATTAGACCCCCAAAACTTATTTATCTTATAACTGGAAGTTTGAACTCTTTGAACACCTTATCATTTTTTCTACCTCCAGGCCTGGTCATTACCATTGTACTCTCTGCTTCTATGAGTTCAGGCTTTTTAAATTGTCCACTTAAGTGAGAACATACAGTGTTTGCCTTTCTGTGCCTGGCTTATTTTGCGTAGCATAATGTACCCAGGTCCATTCATGGCCTTGAAATAGCAGAATTTCATTCTTTTTTATGGGTGAATAATATTCGGTTGTCTATTTATACCATATTTTCCTTATCCATTCAGCATCTACAGATAAGTCATTTAAAAAAAATACCCTTGACAGTTGTGAATAACGCTGCATTGAATATAGGGGTGAAGATTATTTTTGAGATGCTGATTTTAATTTGTTTATAGACAGAAGTGGAATTTCGGGATTGTACAATAGTTCTATTTTTTAAAATGACCTGCAAACTAATTTTCATAATGACTCTTCCAGTTTGCACCTCATTAAGACTGTACAGAAATATTTTGTCACATCCTTGTTAACACTTGTCATATTTATTTTTTTGATAGCCATTCCAACTGCTCTAAAGTTGTATCTTTTTATTTGCAATTTTTTCATGGATGGTAATGTTTAGCGTCTTTCTACACACCTGTTGGCCATTTGAATATGTTTGTAAAAAATATTTAGTATTGGTTGGTGGAGCCAAGATGGCCAAATAGGAACAGTTCTGGTCTACAGCTCACAGCTTGAGTGACGCACAAGATGGGTGATTTCTGCACTTCCAACTAAGGTACCAGGCTCACCTCACTGGGGAGTGCTGGTCAGTGGGTGCAGGATAGTGGGTACAGCCCACCACGCATGAGCCAAAGAAGGGCAAAGCATCACCTCACCTGGGAAGCACAAGGGGTCAGGGAATTCCCTTTCCTCCTCAAAGAAAGGGGTGACAGATGGCAACTGGAAAATCGGGTCACTCCCACCTTAATACTGTGCTTTTACAACCGGCTTCCAAACAGCACACCAAGAGATTATATCCTGCACCTCGCTCGGAGGGTCCTATGCCCACGAAGCCTCACTCATTGCTAGCACAGAAGTCTGAGATTGAACTCCAAGGTGGCAGTGAGCCTGGGGGAGGGTTGCCCACTATTTCTCAGGCTTGAGTAGGTAAACAAAGCAGCTGGGAAACTCGAACTAGGTGGAGCCCACCGCAGCTCAAGGAGGCCTGCCTGCCTCTGTAGGCTCCACCTCTGGGGGCAGGGCACAGACAAATAAAAGACAGCAAAAACTTCTGCAGACATAATTTTCCTTGTCCCACAGCTTTGAAGAGAGTAGTAGTTCTCCCAGCACACAGGTTGAGATCTGAGAATGGGCAGACTGCCTCCTCAAGTGGGTCCCTGACCCCTGAGTAGCCTAACAAGGAGGCACCCTCCAGTAGGGGTGGACTGACCCTGCACAGGACCGGGTACTCCTCTGAGGCAAAAATTCCAGAGGAACCATCAGACAGCAGCATTTGCAGTTCACCAATATCCGCTGTTCTGCAGCCTCCACTGCTGATACCCAGGCAAACGGTCTGGAGTGGACCTCCAGTAAACTCCAGCAGACCTGCAGCTGAGGGTCCTGTCTGTTAGAAGGAAAACTAACAAACAGAAAGGACATCCACACCAAAAACCCATCTGTACGTCACCATCATCAAAGACCAAAGATAGATAAAACCACAAAGATGGGGAAAAAACAGAGCAGAAAAACTGGAAACTCTAAAAATCATAGCACCTCTCCTCCTCCAAAGGAACACAGCTCTGCACCAGCAACAGAACAAAGCTGGACAGAGAATGACTTTGATGAGTTGAGAGACGAAGGCTTCAGGAGATCAAACTACTCTGAGCTAAAGGAGGAAGTTCAAACCAATGGCAAAGAAGTTAAAAACTTTGAAAAAAAAAAGTACACGAATGTATAACTAGAATAACCAATGCAGAGAAGTCCTTAAAGGACCTGATGGAGCTGAAAACCATGACACAAGAACTACGTGACAAATGCACAAGCCTCAGTAACTGATGCAATCAACTGGAAGAAACGGTATCAGCGATGGAAGATGAAATGAATGAAATGAAGCATGAAGAGAAGTTTAGAGAAAAAATAATAAAAAGAAATGAACAAAGCCTCCAAGAAATATGGGACTGTGTGAAAAGACCAAATCTATGTCTCATTGATGTATGTGAAAGTGACGGGGAGAATGGAACCAAGTTGGAAAACAATCAGGATATTATCCAGGAGAATTTCTCCAATCTGGCAAGGCAGGCCAACATTCAAATTCAGGAAATACAAAGAATGCCACAAAGACAGTCCTCGAGAAGAGCAACTCCAAGACACATAATTGTCAGATTCACCAGAGTGGAAATGAAGGAAAAGAAGTTAAGGGCAGCCAGAGAGAAAGGTCGGGTTACCCACAAAGGGAAGCCCATCAGACTAACAGCAGATCTCTCGGCAGAAACTCTACAAGCCAGAGGAGAGTGGGGGCCAATATTCAACATTCTTAAAGAAAAGATTTTTCAACACAGAATTTCATATCCAGCCAAACTAAGCTTCATAAGTGAAGGAGAAATAAAATCCTTTACAGATAAGCAAATGCTGAGAGATTTTTTCACCACCAGACCTGTCCTAAAAGAGCTCCTGAAGGAAGCACTAAACGTGGAAAGGAACAACCGGTACCAGCCACTGCAAAAACATGCCAAATTGTAAATACCATCGAGGCTAGGAAGAAACTGCATCAACTAATGAGCAAAATAACCAGCAAACATCATAATGACAGGATCAAATTCACACTTAGCAATACTAACCTTAAATGTAAACGGGCTAAATGCTCGAATTAAAAGGCACAGACTGGCAAATTGGATAAAGAGTCAAGACCCATCAGGGTGCTGCAATTCAACAAAAAGAACTAACGATCATAAATATATATACATCCAATACAGGAGAACCGAGATTCATAAAGCAAGTCCTTAGTGACCTACAAAGAGACTTAGACTACCACAAAACAATAATCAGACATTTTAACACCACACTGTCAACATTAGAGAGATCAACAAGACAGAAAGTTAACAAGGATATCCAGGAATTGAACTCAGCTCTGCACCAAGCGGACCTAATAGGCATCTACAGAACTCTCCATCCCAAATCAACAGAATATACATTCTTTTCAGCACCATACCACACATACTCCAAAATTGACCACATAGTTGAAAGTAAAACACTCCTCAGCAAATGTAAAATAACAGAAACCACAACAAACTGTCTCTCAGACCACAGTGAAATCAAACTAGAACTCAGGATTAAGAAACTCACTAAAAACCGCTCAACTACATGGAAACTGAACAACCTGCTCCTGAATGACTACTGGGTACATAACGAAATGAAGGTAGAAATAAAGATGTTCTTTGAAACCAACAAGAGCAAAGACACAACATACCAGAATGTCTGGGACACATTCAAAGCAGTGTGTAGAAGGAAATGTATAGCACTAAATGCCCACTAGAGAAAGCAGGAAATATCTAAAATTGACACCCTAACATCACAATTAAAAGAACTAGAGAAGCAAGAGCAAACACATTGAGAAGCTAGTAGAAGGCGAGAAATAACTAAGATCAGAGCAGAACTGAAGGAAATAGAACCACAAAAAACCCTTCAAAAAATCAATGAATCCAGGAACTGGTTTTTTTTTGAAAAGATCAACAAAATTGATAGACTGCTAGCAAGACTAATAAAGAAAAGAGAGAAGAATCAAATAGACCCAATAAAAAATGACAAAGGGGATATCACCACTGATCCCACAGAAATACAAGCTATCATCAGAGAATACTATAAACACCTCTACGTAAATAAACTAGAAAATCTAGAAGAAATGGATAAATTCCTCGACACATACATTCTCCGAAGACTAAACCAGGAAGAAGTTGAATCTCTGAATAAACCAATAACAGGCTCTGAAATTGATGCAATAATTAATAGCTTACCAACCAAAAAAAGTCCAGGACCAGATGGATTCACACCCAAATTCTACCAGAGGTACAAGGCGGAGCTGGTATCATTCCTTTTGAAATTATTCCAATCAATAGAAAAAGAGGGAATCCTCCCTAACTCATTTTATGAAGCCAGTATCATCCTGATACCAAAGCCTGGCAGAGACAAAACAAAAAAAAAGAGTATTTTAGACCAATATCCTTGATGAACATTGACACAAAAATCCTGAATAAAATACCGGCAAACTGAATCCAGCAACACATCAAAAAGCTTATCCACCATGATCAAATGGGCTTTATCCCTGGGGATACAAGACTGGTTCAACATACAAAAATCAATAAATGTAATCTAGCATGTAAACAGAATCAAAGCCAAAAACCACAAGATTATCTCAATAGATGCAGAAAAGGCCTTTGACAAAATTCAGCAACGCTTCATGCTAAAACCTCTCAATAAATTAGGTATTGATGGGATGTATCTCAAAATAAGAGCTATCTATGACAAACCCACAGCCACTATCATACTGAATGGACAAAAACTGGAAGCATTCCCTTTGAAAACTGGCACAAGACAGGGATGCCCTCTCTCACCACTCCTATTCAACATAGTGTTGGAAGTTCTGGCCAGGGCAATCAGGCAGGAGAAGGGAATAAAAGGCATTCAATTAGGAAAAGAGGAAGTCAAATTGTCCCTGTTGGCAGATGACATGATTGTATGTATAGAAAACCCTGTTGTCTCAGCCGAAAATCTCCTTAAGCTGATAAGCAACTTCAGCAAAGTCTCAGGGTACATAATCGATGTGCAGAAATCACAAGCATTCTTATACACCAATAACAGACAAACAGAGAGCCAAATCATGAGTGAACTCCCATTCACAATAGCTTCAAAGAGAATAAAATACCTAGGAATCCAACTTACAAGGGAAGTGAAGGACCTCTTCAAGGAGAACTACAAACAACTGCTCAATGAAATAAAAGAGGATACAAACAAATGGAAGAAAATTCCATGCTCGTGGGTAGGAAGAATCAATGTTGTGAAAATTACCATATTGCCCAAGGTAATTTAGGGACTCAATGCCATCCCCATCAAGCTACCAATGAGTTTCTTCACAGAATTGGAAAAAACTACTTTAAAGTTCATGTGGAACCAAAAAAGAGCCTGCATTGTCAAGTCAATCCTAAGCCAAAAGAACAAAGCTGGAGGCATCACGCTACCTGACTTCAAACTATACTACAAGGCTACAGTAAGCAAAACAGCATGGTACTGGTACCAAAACAGAGATATAGATCAATGGAACAGAACAGAGCCCTCAGAAATAATGCCACATGTATACAACTATCTGATCTTTGACAAACTTGAGAAAAACAAGCAATGGGGAAAGGATTCCCTATTTAATAAATGCTGCTGGGAAAATTGGCTAACCATATGTAGAAAGCTGAAACTGGATCCCTTCCTTACACCTTATACAAAAATTAATTCAAGATGGATTAAAGCTTACATGTTAGTCCTAAAACCATAAAAATACTAAAAGAAAACCTAGGCAATACCATTCAAGACATAGGCATGGGCAAGGACTTCATGTCTAAGACACCAAAAGCAATGGCAACAAAGGCCAAAATTGACAAATGGGATCTAATTAAACTAAAGAGCTTCTGCACAGCAAAGGAAACCACCATCAGAGTGAACAGGCAACATACAGAAAGGGAGAAAAATTTTGCAATCTACTCATCTGACAAAGGGCTAATAACCAGAATCTACAATGATCTCAAACAAATTAACAAGAAAAAAACGAACAACCCCATCGACAAGTGGGCGAAGGATATGAACAGACACTTCTCAAAAGAAGACATTTATGCAGCCAAAAAACACATGAAAAAATGCTCATCATCACTGGCCATCAGAGAAATGCAAATCAAAACCACAATGAGATACCATCTCACATCAGTTAGAATGGTGATCATTAAAAAGTCAGGAAACAACAGGTGCTGGAGAGGATGTGGAGAAATAGGAACACTTTTATACTGTTGGTGGGACTGTAAACCAGTTCAACCATTGTGGAAGTCGGTGTGGCGATCCCTCAGGGATCTAGAACTAGAAATACCATTTGACCCAGCCATCCCATTACTGGGTATATACACAAAGGATTATAAATCACGCTTCTATAAAGACACATGCACACATATGTTGATTGCGGCACTATCACAATAACAAAGGCTTGGAACCAACACAAATGTCCAACAATGATAGACTGGATTAAGAAAATGTGGCACATATATACCATGGAATACTATGCAGCCATAAAAAATGATGAGTTCATGTCCTTTGTAGGGACATCGATGAAGCTGGAAACCATCATTCTCAGCAAACTATCACAAGATCTAAAAACCAAACACCACATGTTCTCACTCATAGGTGGGAACTGAAAAATGAGAACACATGGACACAGGAAAGGGAACATCACACACCGGGGCCTGTTGTGGGGTGTGGGAGGGGGGAAAGATAGCATTAGGAGATATACCTAATGCTAAATGATGAGTTAATGGGTGCAGCAAAGCAACATGGCACATGTATACATATGTAACAAACCTGCATGTTGTGCACTTGTACCCTAAAAGTTAAAGTATAATAATGTTAAAAAATAATGTTTAGTCTTTTGCATATTTTTTAGTTGGGTATTATAATTAGCATTGTTTAGCTTCTGATTTGTATGAGTTTCTGCTATATTTTGAATACTAATGTCTTATCATATATAGTTTGCAAATATTTTATCCCATCTTAAATGTTTTCTTATTTTTTGCTGTGCACAATAGTTTAATACACTACAACTTTATTTCTGGTTTTATTACTATACTTTTGATATCGTATTTTAAAAAAATTGCCAAGGCCAGTATCATGGAGGCTTTTCATATGCTTTTTAAAAGATTTTCTTTTAAGGATTTATGTATTAAATTTAAGTCTTTATTTTAAGTCAATTTTTATGTCTGGCGTAAGAAATATGATCAAGTTTTATTTATTGTGCTTGCGAGTACCCAGTTTTCCCAGCCCTAAGTATTGAAAAGGCTACACTTTTTGTATTGCGTATTCATAGTGCCCTTGTCAAAGATTAACTTTAGATGCATAGATATACTTCTGGGCTCTGTATTCTGTTCCATTGGTTTTTGTGTTTGTTCCTATAAACAATCCATTCTATTATGTTTACTGTAGTCTTGAAATGTAGTTTTAAATAATAAAGTATAATGTCCCCAGATTTCTTTTTATTCCTCTTGATTTCTTTGGCCTTTCAATATTTCTTATAGTTTTATATACATTGCAGACTTTATTTTCTATTACTGTAAAAAGTGGCACAGGAATTTTGATAGGAAGTTGAATTAATCTACAGATTACTTTGGATAACATGGCGCTTAGACAATATTCTTCTAATCCATAAACATGTAATATATTTACATTTATTTGTATCTTCTTTAATATTTTTATCAATATATTTTATTTTTTATTGTAAAGCTCTTTCACCACGTTTGTTAAATTTATTGCTAAGAAATCTATTATTTTGTTGCTATTGTAAATGAGATTTTTTTTCTTTTTTACTAGTTTGTTGCTAGCATATAGAAACAAAACTGATATTTGTATGTTAATTGTATATTCTGCTTCTTTACTGAGTGCATTTATTAGATGCACTATTTATATATAGATGCATTAAATGCAGTATTTAAATGTACTATTTATATTTTTTATATATAACATTATGTCATCTACAAACAGTGACGTTATTTCTTCTTTTCAATTTGGATCTTTTAGCTTTTCTTGCTTAATTATTTGACGTAGGACTTAATTATTCTACGTAGGACTTCCTGTTCTACGTTAAAATAGAACCGTTAGAATGGGCATAATATAGACTTGCATTGGTGTTTGCGCATTTGAAGGAGCAAACACCTCTTTTCATTTGTTGTTGTTGTTGTTTTGTTTTTGAGACGGAGACTCGCTCTGTCACCCAGGCTGGAGTGCTGTGGCACAAACTTGGCTCACTGCAACCTCCACCTCCTGGGTTCAAGCAATTCTCTGCCTCAGCATCCCGAGTAGTTGGGATTACAGGTGCCAACCACAATGCCCGGCTAATTTTTGAATTTTTAGTAGAGACAGTGTTTCACCATATTGGCCAGGCTGGTCTTGAACTCCTGAACTCGTCATCCACCCACCTCGTCCTCCCAAAGTGCTGGGGTTACAGGTGTGAGCCACCGTGCCCAGCCAGCTCTTTTCATTTTTATAAACTGGTTTTAATAGGTAAAGATCTTCATCTGTTGGGTCTCAAGGCTGATGAGATCTTTACTGGGTTTGCAGTAAAAAGGCTTGTAGCTGCATCACAAGGTGGCTGCTGAATCTGAAGTGGGTTTTACCTTTAGTGGGCTTGTTACCAGGAGCACATGTGGTTGTGAGTTCTGTCATGTTTTGTGGCAGGCTGGATTGTCTTCAGGGCTTTGTTTTGTGGAGCAGGCAATAGGGCAGGTTCTGCTATATGCTGGGCCTAATAGCAGATGTGTAGGTGAGTGTGGCTCCCACTGAGTACCTAGCAGGTGTTCCCCAGGTTGTCTACAAACAGTGACTTTTGAGCTGTTTTGTGTGAGTCACGAGTATGATGTCCCCAGCTTTTTTCTTATTCCTCATTATTGGCTTGGCCATTCAGCCTACATTGTAGGTTTGCATTTTCTATTACTATAAAAAGTGGGACAGGGATTTTGATAGGGATTTGAGTTAACTTACAAATTGCTTTGGATAATATGACACCTTATTAACCAAAGGGCCTGGCTTCTCAAAATGACTCTTTTTGATCTTGGGTTTTAGCAAGGTTTCATAATGCCCTGTATCCCAAAGCTCACTATATTGCCCAGGCTGTTCTTGAACGCCTGGCCTGAAGCAGTCCTCCCGCCTCAGGTTCCTGAATGGAGGAGATCACTGTCATGAGCCATTGTGCCTGGATCTCTCATAAAGTTACTTTGGTTGATGGATGGCTGACTAGTTTTTATTACTGCAGGGGAATACAAAAGTAGGGACCCCATATTCCATCACCTTGATAATATCACTGTCTCCATACATTTCTTCCTTATTTTGTTCTCTTGTATGTTTGTGCGTTATTTTAGGTTCAAATATTAAGACCAATAGGCTAGGATTTATACATTGTGTAAAAGGTAAATTAGATAGCTAGAAGGTACCCTTATATATTATAATGTTCACCTATAAGATTAAGTTTAGTGCAGGAAAAAAGCGTTCATTAAAATTTTCATCCACTTTCTTCAACTTCTATCCAAACTATAATATAACTTATGCCCCAATTTTTATTTTATCAATTACCCTTAACCATATTTCATAAAATTTATATTTTTTCTTTATTTAGAACTGTAAGGCTATTATTTGCTTTTAAAGGCTGTAATACAGCTTTTTTTGTGAAATAATAGCACCAATATTATAAATATTAATAGTGTAAATACTTATTCATTAAAATCTTCCCATTAGAGAAATGTATTAATTATTGTAGTGCATTTCTGTAAAATTGTACTGCCACACACCACAGGGCAATGATTCAAAATGCTTGGTCTTCACAGGTGCACAGTCACTGTTGAACATTGTGGTTATTTAGCAAAATTATTTTCTAGTGTTATATCAATGTTCCAAACAAGATTTTATGGGTAAATATTTCTCCCATTCTAGTTTTGCAATTCCATGTTAACTGTGTTTTTATTTTAGGGTAGGTTCCTTGACATTGGTTTATAGTATTTTTGGTTTTACCTAAGTATTATTTTGGATGACAGTGTGCAGCAACTTTTAATGTACAGTTTATGTCAATGTGCAGTTTAATTACAATATGAATCTGCCATATATTTATTCACAATTCAAGTTTAACAAACTTAATGAAAACTAAGCAAACTAACGTTACATGATAAAGCCCTAATCAGCTATCTTATACTTAAGCAAATACACCAAAAAATAGTTTGTAGCTTTATTGCTGCTTTTGTTCAAACTATATTTTATATTCCTTATGACCAAGGAAATTTCTGACATTGTCCTACCAGGCTAAAGAAACAAACAAAAAGACAGTGATTATACTTTCAAGTAGCAGTTTGTTTAGAGCCCCAGATATTCCATCTGTAGACCACGATGCTCATATTTGTTTGTTTTAATAAGGCTGTAGCCCAAAACCTTACATTTTTGTGGAAATTAAAGCTTTTCAGTTCCATACTAAAGACAGGACAGCCTCATGATCTAAATCCAAGGGTGATGGTTTAGAGTGAGGACCATTTTTTGGTGACAGGGAGATGGTTGAGTTCTTCCACAATAAATCTATGTCAGAGGCAGGTTGTGATAAGTTGGAAGTGTTGGCTGCCTTCATGGTCTCAAAGTTCTCTGTCAAGTTCACCTCAGCACTGCTGTACTCCTGTTCTGCTCTCAGGTTGGGAATGCTTGGCCAGTAGTGGTTCTCCACATGGTCCTCAACTGCCGGTGCTTCCCTGATCCACTGCCTGCCAGAAATGCAATCGTAGCAGAGGAGGCTGGTAAGGGGACAGAAGCCAGAGATGGTAACTGGCCACCACCTCACTGGGGAAGAGAGGGGTGGGCTCTCAATCCTAGCTCACATGCCAAGTCCCATTCTCATCCCAGCACCCAGCGGTGTCCCCCATAATGTGCACTGCCTTGTCTGAGGTAAATGGAGAGCTCAGCTAAGGCCTAAAGTTGAAAAGGGGCTTTCCAGAGCCCCCAGTGTGCTGGACATCTCACCAGCCATGGAAAGAGTCTGTGTCCTTGTGGCCACAGACAGGCAATAATGGGGGCCTGCCCACATTTCAGGGCCTTCTGGAGTCTTCACTTGAGAGTTCATCTCTGGCAACAGAGGACACTTCTGGTGTCCAGAGATTCTCAGTGCCTGGTGGATGTAAAACTGATTGATGTAATCTGCTGGCTTCTGGGAGCACTGCTTGGCCATCCTTATCTGTGAGCCCCAGCCAAGGCACTGCAGAAAGCTTGGTCTCTGGCTAGCATTCTGGACTGTGAGACAGCGTGGCTGCAGCTAGCAATGGATGGAGAGAGTAGAGTGTGGTGAAGTGGGGACAGTGGGCATTCTGCCACATGGCCTAGGGTTTCTCCTGACTCTGGACTGCCCAGGTGTGGTGACCAGAAGGCAAACAGTTTCTAGGCCACAGCTCAAGAAGGGAGAACCCAGGCTGAGCCTGGTGATGGTTCTGAGTTGAGGAGATGAAGCTGGGAGTCCAGGGAGACTAAAGAAGCTCAGATAAACTCTGCAGGGCAGAGTATTCAGGGAATGAAAAGGACAAAGATACAAAACAAAAAAGCTCCAGAGTCCTCAGCTAAATACTGCTCAGCACATGTATGTGTGTAAACTACAAGTCTGGGGGAAAAAATACCTAAAGGAAACAGAAAGACCAATGCTTGAACCTCCCACAGAACCAGGCATATTTGGTGTTCCCACCAGCAACAGTGGACAAATCTTATACTTCCCGGACCACTGGATGGAACACTCAGAAAAGAATTGCCTCAGTCGTGTGGAAGATTAGATCTAGGATGAGGCTGCTAAGGTCCTATTTAACAAGACCACAAAGAAAAACCTCAAAGAACCAAAATCTTTCCAGATAATTTAATTGCATCCTAGAATATAGCTCAATAATATTTATAGGAACCCAACAATATCCAACACACAATAAGATAAATTTCACGTTGTCTGCCATCCAGCTGAAAATTACCAGGCATGTGAAGAAAAAGGAGGCTGCTCAGGGGTCAAGGGTCAGGGACCCACTTGAGGAGGCAGTCTGCCTGTTCTCAGATCTCCAGCTGCGTGCTGGGAGAACCACTGCTCTCTTCAAAGCTGTCAGACAGGGACATTTAAGTCTGAAGAGGTTACTGCTGTCTTTTTGTTTGTCTGTGCCCTGCCCCCAGAGGTGGAGCCTACAGAGACAAGCAGGCCTCCTTGAACTATGGTGGGCTCCACCCAGTTCGAGCTTCCTGGCTGCTTTGTTTACCTAAGCAAGCCTGGGCAATGGCAGGTACCCCTCCCCCAGCCTCACTGTAGACTTGCAGTTTGAGCTCAGACTGCTGTGCTAACAATCAGTGAGACTCCATGGGCGTAGGACCCTCCAAGCCAGGAGTGGGATATAATCTCCTGGTGTGCTGTTTTTTAAGCCTGTCAGAAAAGTGCAGTATTTGGGTGGGAGTGACCCGATTTTCCAGGTGCCAACTGTTACCCCTTTCTTTGACTAGGAAAGGGAACTCCCTGACCCCTTGTGCTTCCTGAGTAAGGCAATGCTTCACCCTGCTTTGGCTCGTGCATGGTGCATGCACCCACTGACCTGTGCCCACTGTCTGGCACTCCCTAGTGAGATGAACCTGGTACCTCAGATGGAAATGCAGAAATTACCCGTCTTCTGTGTCACTCATGCTGGGAGCTGTAGACTGGAGCTGTTCCTATTCGGCCATCTTGGCTCCCTACCAAAGCGATATGTTTCAGTGGTTTGAGTCCTATGGTGAAAAAGGAAATATCGAAAAATAAAATGTAGACAGCAGCTTTCTGAAAAACTTCTTTGTGATGTGTACATTCATCTCACAGGGTTGAAACTTTCTTTTGATTGAGCAGTTTGGAAACAGTCTTTTCATAGAAACTGCAAAGTGATATTTGTGAACACTTTGAGGCTTATGGTGAAAAAGGAAATATCTTCATATAAAAACTAGACTCATGTTTTCTGGGAAACTTCTTTGTGATGAGTGTATGCATCTCAAAGAGTTGAATCTTTCTTTTGATTGAGCAGTTTGGAAACAATCTTTTTGGATAATCTGCAAAAGGATGTTTTTGAGCGGTTTGAGGCATGTGGTGAAAAAGGAAATATCTTCATATAAAAATTAGACAGAAGCATTCTGAGAAACCACTTTGTGATTTGTGCATTTATCTTACAGAGTTGAATTTTCTTTCATTGAGTAGTTTGGAAACAGTCTTTTTGTAGAATATGCAAAGGGATATTTGTGAGCTTTTTGAGGCCTATTGTGAAAAAGGAAATATCCACAAATAAAATCTAGACAGAACCCTTCTGAGAAAATTCTTTGTGATGTGTGCATTCATCACACAGAGTTGAACCTTTCTTTTGATTGAGCAGCTTGGAAACAGTCTTTTTGTAGAATCTGCAAAGGAAAATTTGTGATGCTTTGAGGCTTATGGTGAAAAAGAAGTATCTTCACATAAAAACTAGACAGAAACATCCTGAGAAACTTCTTTGTAATGTGTGCATTCATCTCACACAGCTGAACTTTCGTTTGATTGAGCAATTTGGAAACAGTCCTTTTGTAGAATCTGCAAAGGGTTATTTATCAGCAGCTTGAGACCTATGGTGAACAAGGGAGTATCGACCAATAAGAACTAGACAGAAACTTTCTGAGAAACTTCTCTGTGATGTGTGCATTCACTTCAGAGAGTAGAAAGCTTTCTTTGATTAGGTAGTTTGGAAATAATAATTTTGTAGAATCTGCAAAGGGATATATGTAGGCAGTTTCAGGTCTATGGTGAAAATGGAAATATCTTAACATAAAAACCAGACAGAAGCTTTCTTAGAAAATTCTTTGTGATGTGCTCATTCATCTCACAGATTTCAAGTGTTCTTTTCATTGACCAGTTTGGATAGAGTCTTTTTGTAGAATCTGCTTTGCGATATTTGTGAGCCCTTTGAAGCCTATGGTGAAAAAAGAAATATCTTCACACAAAAACTAGACAGAAGCCTTCTGAGAAACTTCATTGTGATGTGTGCATTCATCCCAAAGAGTTGAACCTGTCTTTGGATTGAGCAGTTTGGAAACAGTCCTTTTGTAGAATGTACAAAGGGATATTTGGGATCCCTTTTTGGCCTATGGTGAAAAAGGAAATGTCTTCACATAAAAACTAGACAGAAGCATTCTGTGAAACTTCTTTTGATGTGTGTGTTCTTCTCACAGCATTGAACTTTTCTTTAGATAGAGCAGGTTGGAAAATGTATTTTTGTAGAATCTACAAAGTGATAATTTGAATGCTTTGAGACTTATGGTGAAAAAGGAAATATCTTCACATAAAAACTGGACGGAAGCTTTCTGAGAAACTTCTTTGTGATGCGTGCATTCATCTAAAAGAGTTGAAGCTTTGTTTCAGTTGAGCAGTTTGGGAGCAGTCTTTTTGTAAAATCTGTAAAGGGACGTTTGTGAGCACTTTGAGGCCTATATTGAAAAAGGAAGCATCTTCAAATAAAAACTAGACAGAAGCTTTCTGAGAAACTTCTTTGTGATGTGTGCATTCACCTCCCAGAGTTGAAACTTTCTTTTGATTGATTAGTTTGGAAACAGTCTTGTTGTAGAATCTGCAAAGGGTTATTTATGAGCGGTTTGAGGCCTATGGTGAAAAAGGAAGTATCAACAAATAAAAACTAGACGGAAAATTTCTGAGAAACTTCTCTGTGATGTGAGCATTCATCTCACAGAGTGGAAGCTTGGTTTGAGCCATTTGGAAGCAGTCTTTTTGTAGAATCTGAAAAGGGATATATATAGGCGGTTTGAGGTCTATGGTGAAAACGGAAATATCTTCACATAAAAACTAACTGCTCAATGGGAAGAAAGTTTTACTTGAGTGTGATGAATGCACACGTCACAAAGGAGTTACTCAGAAAATTTCTTTCTACTTTTTATGTGAAGATATTTCCTTTTTCACCATATGCCTCAATGCACTCCCAGATATCCCTTTGCAGATTCTATGAAAAGACTGTTTCCAAACTGCTCAATAAACAGAATGGTTCAACCCTGTGAGACGAATGTGCACATCACAAAGAAGTTTCTCAGAAAACTTCCTTCTCGTTTTTATGTGAAGATATTCCCTTTTTGAACATAGGCCTCAATGCACTCCCAAATATACCTTTGCAGAATCTACAAAAAGACTGTTTCCTAACTGCTCAATCAAAAGAAAGTTTCAACTCTGTGAGATGAATGCACACATCAGAAAGTAGTTTCTCAGCAAGCTTCTCACTAGTTCTTATGTGAAGATAGTTCCTTTTTCAACGTGGGTCTCAAAGCACTCAAAAATATCCCTTTGTAGATTCTAGAATAACAGAGTTTACAAACTGCTCAATGAAAAGAAACCTTTACCCCGTGAGATGATTACACATATCTTAAAGCAGCTTCTCAGAATGTTTCTGTCTAGTTTTTATGTGAAGATATTTCCTTTTTCACCATAGGCCTCAATGCACTCCTAAATATCCCTTTGCAGATTGTACAAAAAGCCTGTTTCCAAACTGCTCAATCCAAAGAATGTTTCAACTCTGTGAGATGAATGCACACATCACAAATAAGTTTCTCAGAAACTTTCTTTATAGTTTTTCTGTGAAGATATTTCCTTTTTCACCATAGGCCTCATCTCAAAGCCCTCACAAATATCCTTTTGCAGATTCTACAAAAAGACTGTTTCCAAACCTCTCAATAAAAACAATTATTGAACACTGTGAGATGAATGCACACATCTCAAAGAAGTTTCTCAGAAACCTCCAGTCTAGTTTTTACGTGAATATATTTCCTTTTTCACCATAGGCCTCAAAGCACTCCAAATATCCATTTGCAGATTCTACAAAAAGAGTTTCCAAACTGCTCAATCAAAACAAAGGTTCAACTCTGTGTGATGAATGCACACATTGCAAAGAAGATTCTCAGAATGCTTCTGTCTAGATTTTATGTGAAGATACTTGCTTTTTCACCATAGGCCTCAAAGTGTTCACAAATATCCCTTTACAGATTCTACAAAAATACTTTTTCCAAATTGCTCAATCAAAAGAAAGGTTCAACTCTGTGAGATATATGCACACCACAAAGAGGTTTCTCAGAAACCTTCTCTCTAGTTTTTATGTGAAGATATTTCCTTTTTCACCATAGGCCTCAAAACATTCACAAATATCCCTTTGCAGATTCTACAAAAAGACTCTTTACACACTGCTCAATGAAAAAAATGTTTCAACTCTGTGAGATGAATGCTCACATAGCCAGGATGTTTCTCAGAAAGCTTCTGTGTAGTTTTTATGTGAAGATGTTTCCTTTTTCACCATAGACTTCAAAGGGCTCACAAATATCCCTTTGCAGATTTTACTAAAAAAGAGTTTCCAATCTTCTCAATGAAAAGAAACAGAAAACAGACACATCTGGGAGATTAATGCACATATCACAAAGCAGTTTCTCAGAAACATTCTGTCTAGTTTTCATGTGAAGGTATTTCCTTTTTCACCACTGGACACAAAGCACTCAAAATTGTCCCTTTGCAGATTCTACAAAAAGTCTGTTTCCACACTGCTCATCAAAAGAAAGGTTCAACTCTGTGAGATGAATGCACACATCAAAAAGAAGTTTCTCAGAAAGCTTCTATTAAATTTTTATGTGAATGTTTCCTTTTTCACCATGAGCCTCAAAGTGCTCACGTATATTCACTTGAAGAATATTAAAAAAGACTGTTTCCAAACTCCTCAATCAAAAGAAAGGTTGAACTGTATGAGATGAATGCACACATCACAGAGAAGTTTCTCAGAAACCTTCTTTATAGTTTTTCCGTGAAGATATTTCCTTTTTCACCATAGGTCTCAAAGCCCTCACAAATATCTCTTTGCAGATTCTACAAAAAGACTGTTTCCAATCCGCTCAATAAAAACAATTATTGAACTTTGTGAAATGAATGCACACATCTCAAAGAAGTTTCTCAGAAACCTTCAGTCTAGTTTTTATGTGAATATATTTCCATTTTCACCATAGGCCTCAAAGTGCTCCAAATATCCATTTGGAGGTTCTACAAAAAGACTGTTTCCAAACCGCTCAATAAAAAAAATTATTGAACTTTGTGAGATGAATGCACACATCTCAAAGAAGTTTCTCAGAAGCCTTCAGTCTAGTTTTTATATGAACATATTTCCTTTTTCACCATAGGCCTCAAAGTGCTCGAAATATCCATTTGCAGGTTCTACAAAAAGACTGTTTCCAAAGGGCTCAATGAAAAGAAAGTTTCAACTCTGTGAGATAAATGCACACATCACTAAGAAGTTTCAGAGGAGGCTTCTATCTAATTTTTATATGAAGACATTTCCATTTTCACCATAGGCCTCCATCTGCTCACAAATATCCCTTAGCAGATTCTACAAGAACAGAATTTCCAGACTTATCAAAGAAAACAAAAGTTTTACTCTGTTAGATGTATGCACACATCATAAAACTGTTTCTCAGAAACCTTCTTTATACTTTTTATGTGATGATATTTCTTTTTTCTCCCTAGGACTCAAAGTGCTCAAAAATATCCCTTTGCAGATTCTACAAAAAGATTATTTCTAAACTGCTCAATCAAAAAAAAATAGTTCAACTCTGTGAGATGAATGCATACATCACAAAGAAGTTTATCAGAAACCTTCTTTATAGTTTTTATGTGAAGATATATCCTTTTTCACCATGGGCCTCAAAGTGCTCAGCAATATCCCTTTGCAGATTCTGCAAAAAGACTGCTTCCCAACTGCTCAATCAAACAAATGTTTGAACTCTGTGAGATGGATGCACACATCACAAAGAGGTTTCTCAGAAATCTTCTGTCCATTTTTTATGTGAAGATATTTCCTTTTTCACCATAGCACTCAAAGTCCTGACAAATATCCCTTGCAGATTCTACAAAAAGATTGTTTCCAGACTGTTCAATCAAAACAATGGTTCAACTCTGTGAGATGATTGCACACATCACAAAGAAGCCACTAAGAAAGCTTCTGTCTAGTTTTTATGTGAAGATATTTCCTTTTTCACCATAGGCCTCAAAGCACTCACAAATATCCCTTTGCAGATTGTAGAAGAACAGAGTTTCCAGACTAATCAGAGAAAATAAACTTTTACCTCTGTGAGATCAATGCACACATCACAAAGCTGTTTCTAAGCAACCTTCTTTGTACCTTTTATATGAATACATTTCCTTTTTCACAACTGGCCTCAAAGCACTCATAAATATCCCTTTGCAGATTCCACAAACAGTTTCCATATTGCTCAATCAAAAGTAAGTTTCATCTTTGTGAGATAAATGACCACATCACAAAGAGGTTTCTCGGAAAGCCTCTCTCTAATTTTGATGTGAAGATATTTCCTTTTTCACCATAGGCCTCAAAGCCCTCCAAATATCCTCTTGCAAATTCTACAAAAAGAATGTTTCAAAACTGCTCAATCAAAAGAAAGGTTCAACTCTGTGAGATGAATGAACACATCACAAAGATGTTTCTCAGAATGCTTCTGTCTAGTTTTTATGTGAAGATATTTCCTTTTCCACCGTACACCTCACAGTGCTTCAATTATCAACGTGCATATTCTACAAAAAGAGTTTTTCAAAACTGCTCAATCAAAAGAAACGTTTATATCTGTGAGATAAATGCACAAATCACAAAGAAGTTTCTCAGAAATCTTCTGTCTAGTTATTATGTGTAGACATTTCCCTTTCCACTAGAGGCCAAAAAGCACTCCAAATATCCACTTGCAGGTCCTACAAAAAGAGTGTTTCAAAACTTTTCAATCAAAAGAAAGGTTCATCTCTGTGAGATGAATGCACACATCACAAAGTTGTGTCTCAGAATGCTTCTGTCTGGTGTTTATGTGAAGATATTTCTTTTGGACATTAGGCCTCTAAGGACTCCAAATATCCACTTGCAGATTCTACAAAAAGTGTTTGAAAACTGCTCAATCAATAGAAAGTTTCAACTCTGTGAGATGAATGCACACATCACAATGAAGTTTCTCAGAATTCTTCTGTTTAGCTTTTATATGAAGATATTTCCTTTTCCACCATAGGCCTCAAAGTGCTCCAAATATCCACTTGCAGATTCTACAAAGGAGTGTTTCAAAACTACTGAATCAAAAGAAAGTTTCAACTCTGCGTGGTGAGTGCACACATCATAAAGAAGTTTCTCAGAATGCTTCTGTCTAGTTTTTATGTGAAAATATTTCCTTTTGCACCATAGGCCACCAATCGCTCCAAATATCCACTTTCAGTTTCTACAAAAAGAGTGTTTCAAAACTGCTCCATCAAAAGAAAGGTTCATCTTTGTGAGTTAAATGCACATATCACTAAGAAGTTTCTCAGAATACTTCTGTCTAGTTTCTGTGTGAAGATATTTCCTTTTCCACCATATGCTGCGTAGCGCTAGAAATATCAAGTTGCAAATTCTACAAAAAGAGTGTTTCAAAACTGCTCAACCAAAAGAAAGGTTCAAATCTGTGAGATGAATGCACACATCACAAAGTAGTCTCTCAGAATGCTTCTGTCTAGTTTTTATGTGAAGATATTTCCTTTTTCACCATAGGCTGCATAGCGCCCCAAATACCCACTTGCAGAATCCACAGAAAGAGGGTTTCAAAACTGCTCAATCAAAAGAAAGGTTCAACTCTGTGAGATGAATGCACACATTACAAAGACGTTTGTCAGAATGGTTCTGTCTAGTTTTTATGTGAAGATATTACCTTTTCCACCACAGGCCTCAAAAAGCTCCAAATATCCACTTGCAGATTCCACAAAAACAGGGTTTCAAAACTGCTCAAACAAAAGAAAGGTAGAACTCTGTGAAATGAATGTACACATCACAAAGTAGTTTCTGAGAATACTTCTATCTAGTTTTTATGTGAAGATAATTCTTTTCCACTTTAGGCCTCAAAGTGCTGCAAATATGCACTTTAAAATTCTACAAAAAGAGTGTTTCTAAAATGCTCAATCAAAAGAAAGATTCAACTCTGTGAGATGAATGCACACATCACAAAGAAGTTTCTCAGAATCCTTCTGTCTAGTTTTAATGTGAAGATATTTCCTTTTCCACCATAGGCCACAAGCGCTCCAAATATCCACTTGCAGAATCGACAAAAAGAGTGTGTCAAAACTGCACAATCAAAAGAAAGGTTCAACTCTGTGAGATGAATGCACACATCACAAAGTAGTTTCTCAGAATGATTCTGATTAGTTTTTATGTGAAGATATTTCCTTTTACTCTATAGGACTGAAAACGTTCCAAATATCCATTTTCAGATACTACCAAAAGACTGTCTCCACACTGTTCAATCAAAAGAATGGTTCAACTCTGTCAGTTGCATGCACACATCACAAGGGAATTTCTCAGAATGCTTTTGCCTAGTTTTTATGGGAAGATATTTCCTTTTCCATCATAGGCCTCAAAGCGCTCCAAGTATCCACTTGCAGATTCTACAAAAAGAGTGTTTCAATACTGATCAATCAAAAGAAAATTTCAACACTGTGAGATGAATGTACACATTAAAACCAGCTTCTCAGAATGCCTCTGTCTAGTTTTTATATTAAGATATTTCTGTTTCCAATGTAAGTCTCAAATCGCTCCAAGTATTCACTTGTAGATTCTACAAAAAGTGTGCTTCAAAACTACTCAAGCAAAAGAAAATTTCAACTCTGTGAAATGAATGCATAGATCACAAAGAAGTTTCTCAGAATGGTTGTGTCTAGTTTTTAGGTAAAGATATTTCCTTTTCCACTATTGGCCACAAAGTGCTCCAAATATCCACTTGCTGACCCTTTAAAAAGGGTGTTTCAAAACTGGTAAATCAAAAGACATTTTCAACTCTGTGAGATAAATGCACACATCACAAAGAAGTTTCTCAAAATGCTTCTGTCTAGTTTTTATGTGAAGATATTTCATTTTCCACTATAGACCTCAAAGCGCCCCAAATAACCATTTGCAGATAGTACAAAAAGACTGTTTCTAAACAGCTCAATCAAAAGAAAAGTTCAACTCTTTGAATGGAATGCACACATCACAAAGAAGTTTCTCAGATTGCTTCTGTCTAGTTTTTATGTGAAGATATTCCTTTTTCCACCATAGGCCTCAAAGCTCTACAAATATCCAATTGCAGATTCTACAAAAAGAGTGTTTCAATACTCCTCAAACCAAAGAAAGGTTGAACTCCTTTTTTTTAAGTTTTTTTTTTCTTTTATTATTATACTTTAAGTTTTAGGGTACATGTGCACATTGTGCAGGTTAGTTACATATGTATACATGTGCCATGCTGGTATGCTGCACTCACTAACTTGTCATCTAGCATTAGATATATCTCCCAGTGTTATCCCTCCCCACTCCCCCAACCACACAACAGTCCCCAGAGTGTGATGTTCCCCTTCCTGTGTCTATGTGATCTCATTGTTCAATTCCCACCTATGAGTGAGAATATGCGGTCTTTGGTTTTTTGTTCTTGCGATAGTTTACTGAGAATGATGATTTCCAATTTCATCCATGTCCCTACAAAGGACATGAACTCATCATTTTTATGGCTGCATATTATTCCATGGTGTATATGTGCCACATTTTCTTAATCCAGTCTATCATTGTTGGACATCTGGGTTTGTTCCAAGTCTTTGCTATTGTGAATAATGCTGCAACAAACATACGTGTGCATGTGTCTTTATAGCAGCATGATTTATAATCCTTTGGCTATATACCCAGTAATGGGATGGCTGGGTCAAATGGTATTTCTAGTTCTAGATCCCTGAGGAATCACCACACTGACTTCCACAATGGTTGAACTAGTTTACAGTCCCACCAACAGTGTAAAAGTGTTCCTATTTCTCCACATCCTCTCCAGCACCTGTTGTTTCCTGACTTTTTAATGATTGCCATTCTAACTGGTGTGAGATGGTATCTCATTGTGGTTTTGATTTGCATTTCTATGATGGCCAGTGATGATGAGCATTTTTTCATGTGTTTTTTGGCTCCATAAATGTCTTCTTTTGAGAAGTGTCTGTTCATGTCCTTCACCCACTTTTTGATGGGGTTGTTTGTTTTTTTCTTGTAAATGTGTTTGAGTTCATTGTAGATTCTGGATATTAGCCCTTTGTCAGATGAGTAGGTTGCGAAAATTTTCTCCCATTTTGTAGGTTGCCTGGTCACTCTGATGGTAGTTTCTTTTGCTGTGCAGAAGCTCTTTAGTTTAATTAGATCCCATTTGTCAATTTTGTCTTTTGTTGCCATTGCTTTTGGTGTTTTAGACATGAAGTCCTTGCCCATGCCTATGTCCTGAATGGTAATGCCTAGGTTTTCTTCTAGGGTTTTTATGGTTTTAGGTCTAACATTTAAGTCTTTAATCCATCTTGAATTGATTTTTGTATAAGGTGTAAGGAAGGGCATTCTTATACACCAACAACAGACAAACAGAGAACCAAATCATGAGTGAACTCCCATTCACAATTGCTTCAAAGAGAATAAAATACCTAGGATTCCAACTTACAAGGGATGTGAAGGACCTCTTCAAGGAGAACTACAAACCACTGCTCAATGAAATAAAAGAGGATACAAACAAATGGAAGAACATTCCATGCTCATGGGTAGGAAGAATCAATATCGTGAAAATGGCCATACTGCCCAAGGTAATTTACAGATTCAATGCCATCGCCATCAAGCTACCAATGCCTTTATTCACAGAATTGGAAAAAACTACTTTAAAGTTCATATGGAACCAAAAAAGAAAGGTTGAACTCTTTGAGCCGAATGCAGACATCACATGGTAGTTTCTCGAATGCTTCTGTCTAGTGTTTATGTGAAGATATTTCCTTTTCCACCATTGGCCTCAAAGCTCTCTAAATAACCTTTTCCACATTCTACCAAAAGAGTGTTTCAAAACTTTTCAGTCAAAAGAAAGCTTCAACTCTGTGAGATGAATGCTCACATCACAGAGAAACTTCTCAGAATGCCTCTGTCTGGTTTTTATGTGAAGATATTACCATAGGCCTCAAAGCGCTCCAAATATCCATTTGCAGATACTACAAAAGACTGTTTCCAAATTGCTCAATCAAAGGAAAGGTTCAACTCTGTGAGTTTAATGCACACATCACAACGAACTTTCTAAGAATGCTTCTGTCTAGTTTTTATGTGAAGATATTTCCTTTTCCACTATAGGCCTCAAAGTGCTCCAAATATCCAATTGCAGACACTACAAAAAGACTGTTTCCAAACTGCTCAATCAAAAGAAAGGTTCTACTCTGTGAGATGAATGCACACATCAGAAAGAAGCTTTTCAGAATGTTTGTGTCTAGTTTTTAAGTGAAGATATTTCCTTTTCCATCCTAGGCCTTAATGTGCTCCAAATATCCACTGGTAGATACCACAAAAAGATTGCTTAAAAATTGCTGAATCAAAAGAAAGTTTCAACTCCGTGAGATGGATGCACACATCACAAACAAGTTTCTCAGAATTCTTCTGTCTAGTTTTTATGTGAAGATATTTCCTTACCACCATAGGCCTCAAAGCACTCAAACTGTCCACTTGCAGATTCTACAAAAAAAGAGTTTCAAAACTGCTCAATCAAAAGAAAGGGTTAACTCTGTGCAATGAATGCACATATCACATAGAAGTTTCTGAGATTGCTTCTGTCTAGATTTTACATGAAGATATTTCATTTTCTACCATAGGCCACAAAGCGCACCAAATGTCCACTTGCAGATTCTACCAAAAGAGTGTTTCCAAACAGCTCAATCAAAAGAAAGGTTCATCTCTGTGAGGTGAACGCACACATTACAAAGAAGTTTCTCAGAATTCTTGTGTCTAGTTTTTATGTGAAGACATTTCCTTTTCCACCATGGGCTTCAAGTCTCTTGAAATGTCCACTTGCAGATTCTACAAAAAGATTATTTCAAAACTGGTCCTTCAAAAGAAGGGTTCAACTCTGGGAGATGAATGCATACATCACAAAGAATTTTCTCAGAATTCTCATATCTAGTTTTTATGTGAAGACATTTCCTTTTCCACTATAGGCCTCAAAGCGTTCCAAATGTGCACTTGCAGATTCTACAAAAAGAGAGTTTCAAAACTGCTCAATCAAAAGAAAGGTTTAACTCTGTGAGATGAATGCACACATCACGAACAAGTTTCTCAGATTGCTTCTGTCTAGATTTTATATGAAGATATTTCCTTTTCTAACATAGGCTGCAAAGCACTCCAAATGTCCACTTGCAGAATCTACAAAAAGAAAGTTTCAAAACTGCTCAATCAGAAGAAAGGTTTAACTCTGTGGGATGAATGCACACATCACAAAGTAGTTTCTCAGATTGCTTCTGTGTAGTTTTTATGTGAAGACACTTCCTTTTTTTCCATAGGTCTCAATGCACTCCAAATGTCCACTTGCAGATCCTACAAAAAGAGAGTTTGAATATTGCTCAATCAAAAGAAAGATTTAACTCTTTGAGATAAATGCTCACATCACAAAGAAGTTTCTGAGATTGCTTCTATCTAGATTTTATATGAAGACATTTCCATTTCTACCAGAGGATGCAAAGCGCACCAAATGTCCACTTGCAGATTCTACAAAAAAAGTGTTTCCAAACTGCTCAATGAAAAGTGAGTTTCAACTCTGTGAGATGAATCCACACATCACAAACAAGTTTGCCAGAATACTTCTGTCTAGTTTTTCTGTAAAGATATTTCCTTTTCCAAGATAGGCCTCAAAGTGCTCCAAATGTGCACTTGCAGATTGTACAAAAGGAGTTTTTCAAAGCTGCTCAATCAAAAGAAAGGTTCAACTCTGTGAAATGAATGCACACTTCACAAAGAAGTTTGTCAGAATGCTTCTGTCTAGTTATTATGTGAAGATATCTCATTATCCACCATAGGCCTCAAAGTGCTCCAAATGTCCACTGGCAGATTCTACAAAAAGTGTGTTTCAAAGCTGCTCAACCAAAAGAAAGTTTCATTTCTGCGAGATGAATGGACACATCACAAAGTAGTTTCTCAGAATGCTTCTGTCTAGTTTTTATGTGAAGATATTTCCTTTTCAATCACAGGCCACAAAGCGCTTCAAATGTCCACTTGCAGATTCTACAAAAAGAGTGTTTCAAAACTACTGAATGAAACGTTTCAACGCTGTGAGATAAATACACACATCACAAAGAAGTTTGTCAGAATGCTTTTGTCTAGTTTTTATGTGAATATATTTCCTGTTCCACCGTAGGCCTCAAAGCGCTCCAAATGTCCACTTGCAGATTCTGCAAAAAGAGTGTTTCAAAACTGCTCAATGAAAAGTGAGGTTCAACTCTGTGAGATTAATGCACATGTAAGAAAGAAGTTTGTCAGAATGCTTCTGTCTAGTTTTTATGTGAATATATTTTCTTTTCCACCATAGACTTCGAAGTGCTCCAAATGTCCACTTGCAGATTCTACACAAAGAGAGTTTCAAAACTGGTCAATCAAAAGAAAGGTTCAAGTCTGTGAGATGATTGCACACATCACAAAGAAGTTTGTCAGAATGCTTCTGTCTGGTTTTTATGTGAAGATAATTCCTTTTCCACCACAGGCCTCAAAGCACTACAAATGTCCACTTGCAGATTCTACAAAAAGAGGGTTTCAAACTGCTCAATCAAAAGTAAGTTTCAATTCGAAGAAATGAATGCACACATCACAAAGAAGTTTGTCAGAATGCTTCTGTCTAGGTTTTATTTGAAGATATTTCCTTTTCCACCATAGGCCACAAAGTGCTCCAAATGTCCACTTGCAGATTCTACAAAAAGACTGTTTCAAAGCTGCTCAATGAAAAGTAAGGCTCAACTCTGGGACATGAATGCACATATCAAAAAGTAGTTTCTCAGAATGCTTCTGTCTAGTTTTTATGTGAAGATAGTTCCTTTTCCACCATAGACCTCAAAGTGCTCCAAATGTCCACTTGCAGATATTTCAAAAAGAGTTTTTCAAAGCTGCTCAATCAAAAGAAAGGTTCAACTCTATGAAATGAATGCACACATCACAAAGAAGTTTGTCAGAATGCTTCTATCTAGTTATTATACGATGATATTTCGTTATCCACCATAGGCCCCAAAGTGCTCCAAATGTCTACTTGCTGATTCTACAAGAAGTGTGTTTCAAAGCTGCTCAATCAAAAGAAAGTTTCAACTCTGCATGATGAATGCACACATCACTTAGAAGTTTGTCAGAATACTTTTGCCTAGGTTTTATGTGAAGATATTTCCTCTTCCACCATAGGCCACAAAGCACTTCAAAAGTCCACTTGCGGATTCTACAAAAAGAGTGTTTCAAAACTGCTGAATGAAATTTAAGTTTCAATGCTGAGAGATTAATGCACACTTCACAAAGAAGTTTGCCACAATGCTTCTGTCTAGTTTTTATGTGAAGATATTTCATTTTCCACCATAGGCCTCAAAGCGCTCCAAATATCCACTTGCAGATTCTACAAAAAGAGTTATTCAAAGCTGCTCAATCAAAACAATGTTTCAACTCTGTGAGATGAATGCACACATCACAAAGAAGTTTGTCAGAATGCTTCTGTCTAGTTTTTATATGAAGATATTTCCTTTTCCACCATAGGCCTTAAAGCGCTCCAAATGTCCACTTACAGATTCTACAAAAAGAGTGTTTCAAAGCTACTCAATCAAAAGAAAGGGTCAACACTGTGAGATGAATGCCCACATCACAAAGGAGTTTGTCAGAATGCTTCTGTCTAGTTTTCATAAGAAGATATTTCCTTTTCCACCATAGGCCACAAAGCGCTCCAAATATCCACTTTCACATTCTACAAAAACAGTGTTTCAAAACTGCTCAATGAAAAGTAAGTTTCAACTCTTTGAGATGAATTCAAACATCACAAAGAAGTTTGTAAGAATGCTTCTTTCTAATTTTTATGTGAAGATCTTTCCTTTTCCCCCATGAATAGTGAGGTTCAACTATGTGAGGTGAATGCACACATCACAAAGAAGTTTGTCAGAATGCTTCTGTCTAATTTTTATGTGAAGATATTTCCATTTCCACCATAGGCCTCAAAGTGCTCCAAACATCCACTTGCAGATTCTTCAAAAAGAGTGTTTCAAAGCTGCTCAATCAAAAGAAAGTTTCAAGTCTGTGAGATGAATGCTCACATCACAAAGAAGTTTGTCAGAATGGTTCTGTCTAGTTTTTATGTGAAGATATTTCCTTTTCCACCACAGCCATCAAAGCGCTCCAAATGTCCACTCGCAGATTCTTCAGAAAGAGTATTTCAAAGCTGTTAAGTGAAAAGTAAGTTTCAAAGCTGTGAGATGAATGCACACATCACAAAGTAGTTTGTCAGAATGCTTCTGCCTAGTTTTTATGTGAAGATATTTCCTTTTCGACCATAGGCTTCAAAGCACTCAAAATGTCCTCTTGCAGATTCTTCAAAAAGAGTGTTTCAAAACTTCTCAATGAAAAGTGAGTTTCAACTCTGTGAGATGAATGCACACATCACAAAGAAGTTTGTCAGAATGCTTCTGTCTAGTTTTTATGTGAAGATATTTCCTTTTCCCCAGTATGCCTCAAAGGGCTCCAAATATCCACTTCCAGATTCTAGAAAAAGAGTTTTTCAATGCTGCTCAATCAAAAGAAAAGTACAGCTCTGTGAGATGAATGCACACATCACAAAGAAGTTTCTCAGAATGCTTCTGTCTAGTTATTATATGAAGATATTTCGTTATCCACCATAGGCCTCAAAGCACTCCAAATGTCCACTTCCATATTCTACAAAAAGAGTGTTTCAAAACTGTTCAATGAAAATTAAGTTTCAAAGCTGTGAGATGAATGCACACATCACAAAGAAGTTTGTCAGAATGCTTCTGTCTAGTTCTTATGTGAAGATATTTCCTTTTCCACCAGAGGTCTCAAAGTGCTCCAAATGTCCACTTACAGATTCCAGAAAAAGAGTATTTCAAAGCTGCTCCATCAAAAGAAAGTTTCAATTCTGTGAGAGGAATGCACACATCACAAATAAGTTTGTCAGAATGCTTCTGTCTAATTTTTATATGGAAATATTTCCTTATCCACCATAGGCCTCAAAGTGCTCCACACGTCCACTTGCAGATTCTACAAAAAGAGTTTTTCAAAGTTGCTCAATCAAAAGAAAGGTTCAACTCTGTGAAATGAATGCACACATCACAAAGAAGTTTGTCAGAATGCTTCTGTCTAGTCATTATATGAAGATATTTCGTTATCCACCACAGGCCTCAAAAAGCTCCAAATATCCAATTGAAGATTCTACAAAAAGAGTGTTTCAAAACTGCTCAATGAAAAGTGAGGTTCAACCCTGCGAGATGAATGCACACATCACAAAGTAGTTTGTCAGAATGCTTCTGTCTAGTTTTTATGTGAAGATATTTCCTTTTCCACCATAGGTCACAAAGTGCTCCAAATGTCCACTTGCAGATTCTACAAAAAGAGTGTTTCAAAGCTGTTCAATCAGAAGAAAGATTCAACTCTGTGAGATGAATGCACAATTCACAAAGAAATTGTCAGAATGCTTCTGTCTAGTTTTTATGTGAAGCTATTTCCTTTTCCACCATAGGCCTCAAAGCGCTCCAAAAGTCCACTTGCAGATTCTACAAAAAGAGTGTTTCAAAGCTGCTCAATCAAAAGAAAATTTCAACTGTGTGAGATGAATACATACACCACAAAGAAGTTTGTCTGAATGCTTCTGTCTAGTTTTTCTGTGAAGATACTTCCTTTTCCACCACATGCCTCAAAGTGCTCCAAATATCCACTTACAGATTCTACAAAAAGAGTGTTTCAAAGCTGCTCAATCAAAACAAAGTTTGAACTCTGTGAAATTTGGAGTGCTTTGAGGCCTATGGTGCAAAAGGAAAAGTCTTCACATAAAAACTAGACAGAAGCATTCTGACAAATTACTATGTGCTGTGTGCATTCATCACACAGAGTTGAACCTTTCTTTTGATTGAGGAGTTTTGAAACTCTCTTTTTGTAGAATCTGCCAGTGGACATTTGGAGCGCTTTGAGGAGTATTGGGGAAAAGGAAATAGCTTCACATAAAAACTAGACAGAAGCATTCTGATGACCTTCTTTCTGATGTGTGCATTCATTTCACAGAGCTGAACATTTCTTTTGCTTGAGCAGTTTTAAAATACTCTTTTTGTAGAATCTACAATTCGACATTTGGAGGGCTTTGTGACCTATGTTGGAAAAGGAAATATATTCACATAAAAAGTATACAGAAACATTCTGAAAAACTTCTTTCTGATGGGTGCATTCATCTCACAGAGTGAACATTTCTTTTCGTTGAGCAGTTTTCAAACACCCTTTTTGTAGAATCTACAAGTGTACATTTGGAGCGCTTTGAGGCCAATGGTGGAAAGGAAAATATCTTCACATAAAAACTAGACAAAATCATTCTGAGAAAATTCTTTGTGATGTGTGCATTCATCTCACGCACTTGAAACTTTCTTTTGATTGAGCAGTTTTGTAACACTCTTTTTGTAGAATCTGCAAGTGGACATTTGGAGCACTTTGAGGCCTCTGGTTGAAAAGGAAATATCTTCACATAAAAACTAGACAGAAGAATTCTGAAGAACTTCTTTGTGATATGTGCATTCATCTCACAGAGTTGGACCTTACATTTGATTGAACAGTTTTGAAACACCCTTTTTGTACTATCTGAATATGGATATTTGGAGTACTTTGAGGCCTATGGTGGAAAAGGCAATATCTTCAAATAAAAACTAGACAGAAGCATTCTGACAAACTTCTTTGTGATATGTGCATTCATGTCACAGAGTTGAACCTTTCTTTTGATTGATCAGCTTTGAAACACTTTTTTTTGTGGAATCTGCAAGTGGACATTTGAAGCACTGTGAGGCCTATGGTGGAAAAGGAAATATCTTCGCTTAAGGACTAGACAGAAGCATTCTGAGAAACTTCTTTGTGATGTGTGCATTCATTTCACATAATTGAAACTTTCTTTTGATTGAGGTGTTTTGAAACCCTCTTTTTATAGAATCTGCAATTGGACATTTCGAGGGATTTCCTATGTTGGAAAAGGAAATATTTTCACATAAAAACTGGACAGAATCATTCTGAGAAATTTCTTTGTGATGTGTGCATGCATCTCACAAAGTTGAACCTTTCTTTCGATTAAGCAGTTTTGAAACACTGTTTTTGTAGAATCTGCAAGTGTATGTTTGGAGAGCCTGGAGTCCCATGGTGGAAAAGGAAATATCTTCACAAAAAACTAGACGGAATCATTGTGAGAAAACGCTTTGTGTTATGTTCATTTATCTCACAGAGTTGAACCTTACATTTGATTGAGCAGTTTTGAAGCACCCTTTTTGTACTATCTGCAGGAGGACATTTGGAGTGCTTTAAGGCCTATGGTGGAAAAGGAAATATCTTCACATAAAAACTACACAGAATCACTCAGACAAAATTCTTTGGGATGTTTGCATTCCTCCCACTGAATTGAACCTTTCTTTTGATTGGAGTAGTTTGTAAACTCTCTTTTTCTAGAATCTGCAGGAGGACATGAGACTTAAGGAGTGCTTTGAAGCCTATGGTGGAAAAGGAAATATCTTCACTTAAGAACTAGACAGAAGCATTCTGAGAAGCTTCTTTGTGATGTGTGCATTCAACTCACAGAGTTGAACTTTTCTTTTGTTTGAGGTGTTTTGAAACACACTTTTTGTAGAATCTGTAAGTGGACATTCGGAGTGCTATGAGGACTTTAGTGGAAAAGGAAATATCGTCGCAAAAAAACTAGGCAGAAGAATTCTGATAAATTTCTTTCTGCTGTGTACATTCATCTCACAGACCTGAACCTTTCTTTTTTTTGAGCAGCTTGGAAACACTCTTTTTGTATAATCTGCAAGTGGATATTTGGAGCACTTTGTGGCCTATTGTGGAAAAGGAAATATCTTCACATAAAAATTAGACAGAAGCATTCTGAGAAACTTCTTTGTGATGTGTGCATTCATCTGACAGAGCTGAACCGTTCTTTTGATTGAGCAGTTTTGAAACACTCTTTTTGTGGAATCTGCAAGTGGATATTTGGAGCTCTTGAGGCCTATTGTGGAAAAGGAAGTATCTTCACATAATAACCAGACAGAAGCATTCTGAGAAACTTCTTTGTGATGTGTGCATTCATCTAACAGGGTTGAAACTTTCTTTTGACTGAGTAGTTTGGATATTGTCTTTTAATAGATTCTGCAGAGGGAACCTTGGAGCACATTACAGCTTCCTGAGTATAAGGAAATATCCTCTCATAAAAACTAAACAGAAGCATTCTGAGAAACAACTTTGTGATGTGTGTGGATTGGAGTGGAATGGAATGGAATGGAATGGAATGGAGTGGAGTGGAGTGGAGCGGAGTGGCATGGAGTGGAGTGGAATGGGATGGAGTGGAGTGGAAAGGAGTGGAATGGATTGGGATGGAATGGAATGGAGAAGAGGGGAGTGGAGTGAAGTGGAGTAGAATGGAATGGAATGGAATGGAGTGGAGTGGAGTGAATTGGAGTGGAATAGAATGGAAAATAATGGAAAGGAATGGAATGGAATCAAACATAATGGTACAGAATAGAATGTAATTGAATGGTGAAATGAAATGGGAGCTGAGATTGTGCCACTGCACTACAGCCTGTGTTACAGTGTCAGATCCTGTCAAAAGGAAGGAAGAGAATGGAATGCAGTGGAATGGAATGGAATGGAGTGGAATGGAGGGAGTAGAGTGGAGTGGAAAGGAGTGGAATGGAATGGGATGGAACTGAAAGGAGTGGAGTGGACTGGAATGGAGTGGAGTGGAGCGCAGTGGAATTGAGTGGAGTGGAGTAGAGCACAGTGGAATGGAATGGAATGGAATGG
Source organism: Homo sapiens (assembly GCF_000001405.40). NCBI lineage: Eukaryota > Metazoa > Chordata > Mammalia > Primates > Hominidae > Homo > Homo sapiens. The sequence continues at coordinate 34,099,305 of NC_000016.10, read as the reverse complement.
AATGGAATGGTAAAATGAAATGTGAGCTGAGATTGTGCCACTGCACACCAGCCTGGGTGACAGAGTGAGATCCTGTCAAAAGAAAGGAATGGAATGGAATGGAATGGAGTGGAGTGGAGTGGAAATGAGTGAAATGGAATGGGATGGAATGGAAAGGAGTTGAGTGGACTCGAATGGAGTGGAGTGGAGTGGAATGGAATGGAATGGAATGGAATGGTGAAATGAAATGTGAGCTGAGATTGTGCCACTGTGCTCCAGGCTGGGTGACAGAGTGAGACACTCTTGAAAGAAAGGAATGGAATGGAATGCAGCAGAATGGAATGGTATGGAATGGAATGGAGTGGACTGGAGTTGTATGGAGTAGAGTGAAGTGGAGTGGAGTGGAATGGAGAAGAATGGAATGGAATGGAATGGAATGAAATGAAGTGGAGTGCAGTGGAATGGAGCGGAGTGGAATGGGATGGAGTGAAATGAAGTGGAGTGCAGTGGAATGGAGCAGAATGGAATGGGATGGAGTGAAATGGAGTGGAGTGGACTGCAGTGGAGTGGAGAGGAGTGGAATGGAATCAGATGTAATGGAATGTAGTGGAGTGGAGTGGATTGGAGTGGAACGGAATGGAATGGAAAGGAACAGAATGGAACGGAACGTAATGGAGGAATGTGTGCTGAGATTGTGCCACTGCACTACAGCCTGTGTGAAAGAGGGAGATCCTATCGAAAGAAAGGATTGGAATGGAATGGAATGGCATGGCATGGCATGGCAAGCATGGAATGGAATGGGATGGAATGGAATGGAATGGAATAAGCGTGCTCAGGTTGTGCCACTGTGCTCCATGCTGGGTGACAGAGTGAGATACTCTCAAAAGAAATGAATGGAATGGAATGCAGGGGAATGGAATGGAATAGAATGTAGTGGACTGGAGTGGAGTGGAGTGGAAAGGAGTGGAATGGAATGGGATGGGACAGAAAGGAGTGGAGCTGGACTGGCATGGAGTGGAATGGAGTGCAGTGGAATTGAGTGGAGTGGAGTGCAGTGGAATGGAATGGAATGGAATGGAATGGAATGGTGAAATGAAATGTGAGCTGAGATTGTGCCATTGCACACCAGCCTGGGTGACAGAGTGAGATCCTGTCAAAAGAAAGGAATGGAATAGAATAGAGTGGAATGGAATTGAATGGAGTGGAGTGAAGTGGAGTGGAAATGACTGGAATGGGATGGAATGGAAAGGAGTGGAGTGGAGTGGAATGGAGAGGAGTGGAGTGGAATGGTTTAGAGTGGGGTGGAGTGGAGTGGAGTGGAGTGGAATGGAATGGAATGGAATGGAATGGAATGGAATGGTGAAATGAAATGTGAGCTGAGATTGTGCCACTGCGCTCCAGGCTGGATGACAGTGAGATACTCTTGAAAGAAAGGAATGGAATGGAATGCAGTGGAATGGAATGGTATAGAATGGAATGGAGTGGACTGGAGTGGAGTGGAGTGAAGTGGAGTGGAGTGGAATGGAGAGGAATGGAATGGGATGGAATGAAATGAAATAAAGTGGAGTGGCGTGGAGTGGAGTGCAGTGGAATGGAGCAGAATGGAATGGGATGGAGTGAAATGGAGTGGAGTGGACTGCAATGGAGTGGAGAGGAGTGGAATGGAGTGGAATGGAATCGGATGTAATGCAATGTAGTAGAGTGGAGTGGAACGGAACAGAACGTAATGGAGAAATGTGTGCTAAGATTGTGCCACTGCACTACAGCCTGTGTGACAGAGGGAGATCCTGTCAAAAGAAAGGAGTGGAATGCAATGGCATGGCATGGAATGGAATGGAATGGAATGGCATGGAATGGAATGGAATGGAATGGCATGGCATGGAATGGAATGGAATGGAATGGCATGGAATGGAATGGAATGGAATGGAATGGAATGGAATGGAATGGCATGGCATGGAATAGAATGGAATGGAATGGAATGGAATGGAATGGCATAGAATGGAATGGAATGGAATGGAATGGCATAGAATGGAATGGAATGGAATGGAATGGAATGGAATAGGCTTTCAGGTTGTGCCACTGCACTCCATGCTGGGTGACAGAGTGAGATACTCTCGAAAGAATGGAATGGAATGGAATGCAGTGGAATGGAATGGAATGGAATGGAATGGAATGGAATGGACTGGAGTGGAGTGGAGTGGAGTGAAGTGGAGTGGAGTGGAATGGAGAGGAATGGAATGGGATGGAATGGAATGGAATGAAGTGGAGTGGGGTGGAGTAGAGTGCAGTTGAATGGAGCGGAATGGAATGGGATGGAATGGAAAGGAGTGGAGTGCACTGGAGAGGAGAGGAGTGGAATGCAGTGGAATGGAATCGGATGTAATGGAATGTAGTGGAGTGGAGTGGAGTGGAACGCAGTGGAATGGAATGGAATGGAATGGAATGGAATGGAATGGAATGGAATGCAATGGAGTGCAATGGAATAGAATGCAGTGCAATGGAAAGTTGACATGTAATCTGAGCTGAGATTGTGCCACTGCACTCCAGCCTGGGTGACACAGTGATATCCTTTCAAAAGAAAGGAATGGAATGCAATGGAGTGAAATGGAATGGAATGGAATGGAATGGAATGGAATGGAGTGGAGAGGAGTGGAGTGGAGTTGAAGGGAGTGGAATGGAATGGAATGGAATCAAATTGAATCGAAAGGAATGGATTGGAATCAAATGGAATCGAATCAAATGGAATCAAATGGAATGGAATGGAATAGGAGCTGAGATTGTGTCACTGCGTTCCAGGCTGGGTGACTGGGTGACATACTCTCAAAAGAAAGGAATGGAATGGAATGCAGAGGAATGGAATGGAATAGAGTGGACTGGAATGGAGTGGAGTGAAGTGGAATTGAGTGGAGTGGAATGGAATGGAATGGAATGGAGTGGGATGGAGTGGAATGGAGTGGAATGGAGTGGAGTGCAGAGGAGTGGGGTGAAGTGGAGTGGAATGGAATGGAGTGCAATGAAATTGCAATGGAATGGAATGGAATAGAATGCAGTGGAGTGGAGTGGAGAGGAGTGGAGTGGAGTGGAGAGGAATGGAATGGAATGGAATAGAATTCATTGGAGTGTAGTGGAATGGAGCGGACTGGAGAGGATTGGAATGGAATGGGATGGGCTCGAATGGAATGGACTCAAATGGAATGCAATGGACTCAAATGGAATCATCATTGAATGGACTCAAATGGAATCACCATCGAATGTACTCGAATGGAATCATCATTGAATGTACTCGAAAGGAATCATCATCCAATGGACTCAAATGGAATCATCACTGAATGGACTCGAATGGCATCATCAATGAACGGAATCGAATGGTATCATCATTGAATGGAATCGAAAGGCATCATCATCGAATGGAATTGAATGGCATCATCATCGAATGGAATCAAATGGCATCATCATCAAATGGAATTGTACGGAATCATCATTGAATAGAATCGAACGGAATCATCAACGAAAGGAATCGAATGGAATCATCATCGAATGTACATGAATGGAATCATCACCGAATGGACACGAATGGAATCATCATTAAATGTAATAGAATGGAATCATCATTGAATCAATTCGAATGGAATCATCATTGAATGGACTCAAAAGGAATCATCATCCAATGTAAACGAATGGAATCATCATTGTATGGAATCCAATGGAATCATCATCGAATGGAATCAAGTGGAATCAACATCGAATGGACTCAAATGGCATCATCATCGAATGGAATCTTCATATGGAATCGAATGGGATCATCAAATGGAATCAAATGGAATAATCATCGAATGGAATCGAATGGTATCATCAATGAAAGGAGCGAATAGAATCATCATCGAATGGAATCTTATGGAATCATCAAATGGCATCCAATGTAATCTTCAAATGGAACTAAATGGAAGCAAATGGAATCATCGAAAGGAATCGAATGGAATCATCATCAAATGGAATTGAATGGAATCATCGAATGGAATTGAATGGCATCATCATCGAATGGAATCGAATGGAATCATCATCGAATGGAATCATCATCAATTGGAATTGAATGGAATCATCGAATGTAATTGAATGACATCATCATCGAATGGAATCGAATGGAATCATCATCAAATGGAATAGAATGGAATCATCAACGAATGGAATCAAATGGAATAATCATCTAATGGACTCGAAAGGAATCATTATCGAATGGAATCAAATGAAATCATCATTGAATGGAATCAAATGGAGTCATCCAATGGAATCGAATGGAAACATCAAATGGAATCGAATGGAATCGAATGGAATCATCATTGAATGGAATCGAATGGAATCATCAAATGGAATTAGATGGAATCATCATTGAATGGAATCGAATGGAATCATCACCGAATGGAAACGAATGGAATCATCATCAAATGGAATTGAGTGGAATCGTCAAATGGAATTGAACGAAATCATCATCGAATAGAATCGAATGGAATCATCAAATGCAATCAAATGGAATCATCATCAAATTGAATCGAATGCAATCATGAAGTGGAATCGAATGGAATCATCGAATGGAATCAAATGAAATCATCGTCAAATGTACTCGAATGGAATCATCATCAAATGTACTCGAATGGAATCATCATCAAATGGACTCGAACGGAATCATCATTGAAAGGAATCGAATGGAAACATCATCGAATGGAATCAAATAGAATCATCATTGAATGGAATCGAATGGAATCATCACTTAAAGGAAGCAAATGGAATTATCATTGAATGGAATCGAATAGAATCATCATCGAATGGCATCAAATGGAATCACCATCGAATGTACTCGAATGGAATCATCATCGAATGTACTCGAATAGAATCATCATCAAATGGACTTGAATGGAATCATCATCGAATGGAATAGAATGGAATCATCATCGAATGGCATCGAATGGAATCACCATCGAATGTACTCGAATGGAATCATCATCGAATGTACTCGAATGGAATCATCATCGAATGTACTCGAATGGAATCATCATCAAAAGGACTCGAATGGAATCATCATCAAATGGACTCAAATGGAATCATCATCAAATGGACTCGAATGGAATCATCATCAAATGGACTCGAATGGAATCATCATCAAATGGAATCGAATGGAATCATCATCAAATGGAATCGAATGGAAACATCATCAAATGGAATCAAATAGAATCATCATCGAATGGCATCGAATGGAATCACCATCGAATGTACTCGAATGGAATCATCATCGAATGTACTCGAATGGAATCATCATCAAATGGACTCGAATGGAATCATCATCGAATGGAATAGAATGGAATCATCATCAAATGGACTCGAATGGAATCATCATCGAATGGAATAGAATGGAATCATCATCGAATGGCATCGAATGGAATCACCATCGAATGTACTCGAATGGAATCATCATCGAATGTATTCAAATGGAATCATCATCGAATGGACTCGAATGGAATCATCATCAAATGGACTCAAATGGAATCATCATCGAATGGAATCGAATGGAATCATCATTGAATGGAATCGAATGGAAACATCATCGAATGGAATCGAATAGAATCATCATCGAATGGAATTGAATGGGATTATCATTGAAAGGAAGCAAATGGAATTATCATAGAATGGAATCGAATAGAATCATCATCGAATGGCATTGAATGGAATCACCATCGAATGGACCCGAACGGAATCATCATCCAATGGACACGAATGGAATCATCATCGAATGGACCCGAATGGAATCATCACTGAATGGACTCAAATGGAATCATCATCGAATAGATTCGAATGGAATCTTCAAATGGAATCGAATGGAATCATCATTGAATGGAATCGAATAGAATCATCGAATGGCACCCAATGGAATCATCGAATGGAATCAAATGGAATCGAATGGAGTCACTGAAAGGAATTGAATGGAATCATCATCAAATGGAATCAAATGGAATCATCGAATGAAATCGAATGGAATCATCATCGAATGGAAATGAATGGAATCATCATCAAATGGAAATGAATGGAATCATTGAATGGAATCATTTGGAAACATCATCGAATGGAATCGAATGGAATCATCGAATGGAATGGAATGGAGTCATCGAATGGAGTCGAATGGAATCATCAAATGGAATCGAGTGGAATCATTGAATGGAACTAAATGGAATCTAAAGGAATCATCGAATGAAATTGAATGGTATCACTATCGAATGGAATTGAATGGAATGATCTTCAAATGGAATTGAAAGAAATCATCATTGAATGGAATGGAATGGAGTCATTATCGAATGGAATCAAATGGAATCATCATCAAAAGGAATGGAATGGAATCATCATCAAACGGAATCATCATCAAATGGAATCGAATGGAATCATCATAGAAAGGAATCAAATGGAATAATCATTGAATGGAATCGAATGTAATCATTGATTGGGATCGAATGGAAACATCGTATGTAATTGAATGGATATGAACGGAATCATCATTGAATGGAATCGAATGGAATCATCGAATGGAATTGAATGGCATCATCATCAAATGGAATCAAATGGAATCATAATCTAATAGACTGGAATCAAATCATCATCGAATGTACTCGAATGGAATCATCATTGAATGGACTCAAATGGAGTCATCATAGAAGGCATCGTCAAATGGAATTGAATGGAATCATCATCGAATGGAATCTAATGGAATTATCATCAAAAGGAATCGAATGGAATCATCATCAAATGGAATCGAATGGAATCATCAAATGAAATTGAATGGAATAATCATCGAATGGAATTGAATGTAATCATCATCAAATGGAATCGAATGGAATCATCAAAAGGAATCGAATGGAATCATCATGGAATGGAATCGAATGGAATCTTCGAATGGAATCAAATGTAATTATCATCGAATGAAATCCAAAGGAATCATCGAAGGGAATAATCAAATAGAATCAAATGGAATAATCATCGAATGTACATGAATGAAATCAACATCAAATGGACACGAATGGAATCATCATCAAATGTAATCAAATGGAATCATCAACAAATAAATTTGAATGGAATCATCATCGAATGGACTCAAATGGAATCATCATCGAATGGAATAGAATGGAATCATCGTCAAAAGGAAGCGAATGGAATCATCATCGAATGGAATCAAATAGAATCATCATCCAATGTTATCGAATGGAATCATCATCGTATGGAATCCAATGGAATCATCATGGAAAGGAATCGAGTGGAATCACCATCAAATGGACTCGAATGGAATCATCATTGAATGGAATCTTCATATGGAATTGAATGGGATCATCAAATGGAATCGAATGGAATAATCATCGAATGGAATCGAATGGTATCATCATCAAATGGAGAGAATAGAATCATCATTCAATGGAATCTTATGGAATCATCATTGAATGGAATCAAATGGAATCATCATCGAATAAAATCGACTGTAAACATCATCGAATTGAATCGAATAGAATCATCGAATGGAATCGAATGGAATCATCATCGAATGGACTCAAATGGAATCCTCATCAAATGGACTCGAATGGAATCATCATCGAATGGACTCGAATGGAATCATCATTGAATGGAATCGAATGGAATCATCAAATGAAATTGAATGGAATAATCATTGAATGGAATTGAATCGAATCATCATCAAATGGAATCGAATGGAATGATCAAAAGGAATCAAGTGGAGTAATCATGGAATGGAATCGAAAGGAATCTTTGAATGGAATCAAATGCAATCATTGAATGGAATCGAATGGAATCATCGAATGGAAACAAATTGAATCATCATCGTATGTACACTAATGGAATCATCATCAAATGGACACGAATGGAATCATCACCAAATATAATCCAATGGAATAATCATCGAGTCAATTCGAATGGAATAATCATCAAATGGACACGAATGGACTCATCATCGAAAGGAAGTGAAGGGAATCATCATTGAATGAAATTGAATAGAATCATCATCAAATGTAATCAAATGGAATCATCATCATATGGAATCCAATGGAATCATCATCGAATGGAATCGAGTGGAATCAACTTTGAATGGACTCAAATGGAATCATCATCGAATGGAATCTTCATATGGAATCAAATGAGATCATCGAATGGAATCGGATGGAATAATCATCGAATGGAATCGATTGGTATCATCATTGAAAGGACGGAATAGAATCATCATCAAAGGGAATCTTATGGAATCATCGAATGACATCCAATTGAATCATCGAATGGAATTAAATGGAAGCAAATGGAATCATCGAAAGGAATCGAAGGGAATCATCATCAAATGGAATCGAATGGAATCATCGAATGGAATCAAATGGCATCACCATCAAATGGAATTGAATAGAATCATCATCAAATGGAATCGAATGGAATCATCAACGAATGGAATCGAATGGAATAATCATCGAACGGACTCGAAAGGAATCATCATCCAATGGAATCATCATTGAAACAGATAGAAAGGAATCATTATGGAATGGAATCGAATGAAATCATCATTGAATGGAATCAAATGGAATCATTGAATGGAATCAAATGGAATCATCAAATGGAATCGAATGGAATCATCATCGAATGGAATCGAATGGAATCATTGAATGGAATTAGATGGAATCATCAGTGAATGGAATCAAATGGAATCATCATCGAATGGAATCGAATGGAATCATCACTACATGGAATCGAATGGAATCATCATTGAATGGAATCAAATGGAATCATCACTACATGGAATCGAATGGAATCATCATCAAATGGAATTGAATGGAATCATCGAATGGAATCGAATGGAAACATCATCGAATGTACTCGAATGGAATCATCATCAATTGGAATCGAATGGAATCATCATCAAATGGAATAGAATGGAAGCATCATCGAGTGGAATTGAATAGAATCATCACTGAATGGAATTGAATGGAATCATCATCGAAAGGAAGTGAATGGAATCATCATCGAATGGAATAAAATAGAATCATCATCGAATGGCATCGAATGGAATAATCATCTAATGGACCCAAACGGAATCATCATCCAATGTACACGAATGGAATCATCATCGAATGGACTCAAATGGAATCATCATCAAATGGATTTGAATGGAAACTTCGAATGGTATCGAATGGAATCATCATCGACTGGCATCCAATGGAATCATAGAATGGAATCAAATGGAATCGAATGGAATCATCAAAAGGAATCAAATGGAATCATCATTGAATGAAATCAACGGTAAACATCATCGAATGGAATTGAATGGAAACATCATTGAATGGAATCGAATGGAATCATCATCAAATGGAATTGAATTGAATCATAATCTAATGGAATCAAATGGAATCCTCATCAAATGGACTCGAATGGAATTATCATCGAATGGACTCGAATGGAATCATCATCGAATTTAATCGAATGGAATCATCATTGAATGGAATCGACTGGAATGTTCGAATGGAATTGAATGGAGTCATCGAATGGAATTGAATGGAATCATCGAATGGTAAAGAATGAAATCATCATTGAATGGAAGCCAATGCAATCATCGAATGGAATCAATAAGGATCATCATCAAATGGAATCAAACGGAATCATCAAGTGGAATCAAATGGAATCATCATCAAATGGAATTGACTGGAATTATTTAATGTAATCAAATGGAATCATCATCTAATTGAATCAAATGGAATCATTGAATGGGATCGATCAGACTCTTCATCGAATGGAATTGAACGGAATCATTAAATCGAATTGAACGAAATCATCATCGAGTGGGATCGATCAGAATCATAGAATGGAATCAAACGGAATCATCATTGAATTGACTTGAACGGAATCATAATTGAATGGACACGAATGGAAACAACATCGAATGGACTCAAAGGGAATCATTATCGAATGGACTCGAACTGCATCATCATCAAATGGAATCAAACGGAATCATCATCCAATGGAATCGAACGGAATCCTCATCGAATGGAATCGAACAGAATCATCCACGAATGGAATTGAACAGCATCATTGAATGGATTCGAATGGAATCACTGAATGGAATAAAATGGAATCATTATAGAATGGAGTTGAATATCATCGAATGGAATCGAGTGGAATCATCGAATGGAATGGAATCAAATGGAATGGAATCAAAAGGAATCATCAAATGGAATCGTATGGAATCACTATCAAATGCAATTGAATGGGATCTTCAAATGGAATCAAATGTCATCATCATCGAATGGAATCGAATGGAATCATCATGGAATGGAATTGAACGAAATCATCATCGAATGGAGTCGAACGGAGTCATTATTGAATGGAATCAAATGGAATCATCATAGAAAGGAATCAAATGGAATCATCATCAAAAGGAATCATCATCAAATGGAATCAAATGGAATCATCATGGAATGGAATCAAATGGAATAATCATTGAATGGAATCAAATGTAATCATCAATGGGAATTGAATGGAATCATTGAATGTAATTGAATGGAATCAAATGGAATCATCATTGAATGGAATCAATTAGAATCATCGAATGGAATTCAATGGAATCATCATCAAATGGAGTCGAACGGAATCATCAAATGGAATCGAATGGAAACATCAAATGAAATCGAATTGAATGATCGAAAGGAATCAAATGGAATTGAAAGGAATCGTCGAATGGAATTGAATGGAATCATCATTGAATGGAATCAAATGGAATAATAATGAAATAGACTCAAATGGAAACATGATAGAATGTACTCGAATGGAATCATCATTGAATGGAATCAAATGGAATCATCATCAATGCATCATTGAATGCAATCAAACAGAATCATCATTGAAGCGAATCTAATGGAATTATCAACAAATGGAATCGAATGGAATCATCATCGAATGGAATCGAATGGAATCATCAAATGAAATTGAATGGAATAATCATCGAATGGAATCAAATGGAATCATCATCGAATGGAATCAAATGGAATAATCAAAAGGAATTGAATGGAATCATCATGGAATGGAATCGAATGGAATCTTCAAATGGAATCATCATCAAATGGAATCAAATGCAATCATCGAATGGAATCAAATGGAATCACTGAACGTAATCAAATGGAATCATCATCGAATGTACACGAATGGAATCATCATCAAATGGACACGAATGGTATCATCATCAAAGATAATGGAATGGAATCATCATTGAATTGATTTGAATGGAATCATCATCAAAAGTAAGCAAATGGAATCATCATCAAATGGAACTGAATAGAATCATCATCAAAAGGAATCAAATGGAATCATCATCGAATGGAATCGAATGGAATCATCATCGAATGAAATTGATGGTAAACATCATCGAATGAAATCAAATAGAATCATCATCGAATGGAATCATCATTGAATGGAATCGAATGGAAATATCATTGAATGGAATCGAATGGAATCATCATCGAATGGAATAAAATTGAATCATCATTGAATGGACTCGAATGGAATTATCATCAAATGGACTTCAATGGAATCATCATCTAATGGAATCGAATGGAATCATCATTGAATGGAATCGAATGGAATCATCATCAAATGGAATCGACTGGAATGTTCAAATGGAATTGAATGGAATCATCGAATGGAATCAAATGGAATCATCAAATGGTATCAAATGGAATCATCATCGAATTGAAGCGAATGCAATCACTGAATGGAATCGATAGGGATCATCATCAAATGGAATCGAATGGAATCATCGAATGGAATTGAACGGAATCATCATCAAATTGAATCAAATGGAATCATTGAATGGGATCAAATGGAATCTTCATCGAATGGCATTGAACAGAATCATTGAATGGAATCGGACGAAATCATCAAGTGGGATCGAATGGAATGATAGAATGGAATCGAACGGAATCATCATTGAATTGACGTTAACAGAATCATAATCGAATGGACACGAACGGAAAAAACATCGAATGGACTTGAATGGAATCATTGAATGGAATATAATGGAATCATTATAGAATGGAATCAAATGGAATCATCGAATGGAATCGAGTGGAATCACTGAATGGAATGGAATAGAATCGAATGGAATCATTGAATGGAATCGAATGGAATCACTATCAAATGGAATCATCGAATGGAATCAAATGGCATCATCATTGAATGGAATCAAATGGAATCATCATCGAATGGAATCTAATGAAATCATCATCTAATGGAATTGAACAGAGTCATTATTGAATGGAATTGAATGGAATCATCATCAAAAGGAATCGAATGGAATCATCATCGAAAGGAATCATCATCGAATGAATCGAATGGAATCATCATAGAATGGAATCAAATGGAATAATCATTGGATGGAATCAAATGTAATCATCAATTGGAATCGAATGGAATCATCGAATGGAATCAAATGGAATCATCATCGAATGGAATCAGTTGGAATCATCGAATGGAATTCAATGGAATCATCATCAAATGGAGTTGAATGGAATCATCGAATGGAATCAAATGGAATCATCGAATGGAATCAATTGGAATCGTCATCAAATGGAATCAAATGGAATCATTGAATGGAATCGAATGGAGGAAACATCGACTGGAATCGAATGGAATCATCAAATCTAATCGAATGAAATCTTCATGGAATGGAATTGAATGGAAACATCGTCGAATGGAATCAAATGGAATCATCATCAAATGGAGTCAAATGGAATCATCAAATGGAATTGAATGGAATCAACATTGAATGGAATCGAATGGAATCATCATTGAATGGACTCGAAAGGAATCATCATCGAATGGACTCGAGTGGAATCATCATCAAAAGGAATCGAATGAAATCATCCTCCAATGGAATCTAATGGAATCATCATCGAATGGAATCTAATGGAATCATCAAGTGGAATCAAATGGAATCAAAAGGAATGGAATGGAATGGGAATTGAGATTGTTCCACTATACTCCAGGCTGTGTGACAGAGTGAGATACTGTCAAAAGAACGGTATAGAATGGAATGCAGTGGAATGGAATGGAATGAAATGGAATGCAGTGGAGAGGAGTGGAGTGAAGTGAAGTGGTATGGAGTGGAATGGAATGGAATAGAATGGAGTGGAATGGAATGGAATGCAGTGGAGTGGATTGGAATGGAATTGAGTGGAGTGGAGTGGAATGGAGTGGAGTGGAGTGGAGTGGAATGGAATGGCAAGGAATGGAATGGACTCGAAAGAATTGGAATGGACTCTAATGGAAAGGAATGGACTCAAATGGAATGGAATGGACTCGCATGGAATAATCATCAAATGGACTCGAATGGAATCATCATAGAATGGAATCGAATGGAATCATTGAATGGAATTGAATGGTATCATCATCTAATGGAATCGAATGGAATCAAAAAATGGAATTGAATGGAATCATCACAGAATGGAATCAAATGGAATCATCAAATGGAATTGAAAGGAATCATCACCGAATGGATTCGAATGGATTCATTGTATGGAATCAAATGGAATCATCATCGAAAGGAATCGAATGGAATCATCAAAAGGAGTTGAATGGAATCATCGAATGGAATCAAACGGAATCATTTAATGGAATAGAAGGAATGGAATGGAATGGAATGGAATGGAATCAAATAGAATGGAATCGAAACAAATGGAATGGAATGGAATGGGAGCTGAGATTGTGTCACTGCACTCCAGGCTGGGTGACAGAGTTAGATATTCTTGAAAGAAGGTAATACAATGGAATGCAGTGGAATGGAATGGAATTTAATGGAATGGAGTGGAGTGGAGTGGAGAGGAGTGTAATGGAGTGGTATGGAGTGGAATGGAATGGAATGGAACTGAGTGGAACGGAATGGAATGGAATTGAGTGGAAAGGAATGGAATGGAATGGAATGCAGTGGAGTGGAATGGAATGGAATGCAGTGGAGTGGATTGGAATGGAAAGGAGTGGAGTGGAGTGGAGTGGAATGGAGTGGAGTGGAATGGAATGGAATGGAATGGAATGGAGTGGAGTGGAGTGGAGTGGAGTGGAATGGAGTGGAGTGGAATGGAATGGAACGGAATGGAATGAAATGGAATGGACTCGAATTGAATGGAATGGACTCAAATGGAAAGGAATGGACTCGAATGGTATGGAATGGACTCAAATGGAATCATCATCGAATGGACTTGAATGGAATCATCATTGAATGGAATCAAATGGTATCATCATCTAATGGAATCAAATGGAATCATCATCGAGTGGAATCAAATGGAATCATCATCGAATGGAAACGAATAGAATAATCATCAAATGGAATTGAATGGAATCATCATTGAATGGAATCGAATGGAAGAATCATGAAATGGAATTGAATGGAATCATCGAATGGAGTCCAAAGAAATCATCATCGAATGGAATCAAAAGGAGTCATCCAATGGAATCAAAAGGAATCATCAAAGGGAATCGAATGGAATCATTGTCGAATGCACTCATGTGGAATCATCTTCAAATTGACTCGAATGGCATCATCATTGAATGGAATCGAATGCAATCATCATCAAATGGTATCAATTGGAATCATCATCGAATGGAATCGAATGGAATCATCATCGAATGGAATCAAATGAAATCATCATCGAAAGGAATTGAATCGACTCATCATCAAATTGCCTCGAATGGCATCATCATCGAAGGGATTCGAATGCAATCATCATCGAATGGTATCAATTGGAATCATCACTGAACGGAATCAAATGGAATCATCATCAAATGGAATCGAATGAAATCATCATTGAATGGAATCGAATTGACTCATCATCAAATGGAATCGAATGGAATCATCATCGCATGGAATCGAATGGAATCATCAAATGGAATCAAAGGGAATCATCGAATGGAATTGAATGGAATCATCATCGAATGGACTCGAATGGAATCATCGTTGAATGGAATCGATTGAAATCATCATCGAATGGACTCAAATGGAAGCATCATCGAATTGACTCAAATGGAATCATTGAATGAATTCGAATGGAATCATCATCAAATAGACTCGAATGGAATCATCATCGAATCAACTCTAATGGAATCATCATAGAATGGACTCGAATGATATCATCACCGAATTGACTCGAATGGAATTATCATTGAATGGACTCAAATAGAATCACCATCGAATGGAATCGAATGGAATCATCGAATGGAAATGAATGGACTTGGATGGAATCATCATTGAATGAAATCAAATAGAATCATCATCAAATGGAATCAAAAGGAATCTTTGAATGGAATCGAATGGAATCATCAATGGCTGGAATCGAATGGAATCATCATCAAATGGATGTTGATTCCATTCGTTTCTGGCCAATTATGATTCCTTTCATTTCCATTCAATGATTCCATTCGATCTCATTTGCTTCCATTTGATGATAACATTCAATTCCATTCGATGATGATTCCATTAGTTTCCTTTCCATGTTGGTTCCAATCGATTCCAATCGATGATGATTCCATATGATTTCATTCTTATATTCCATTGGATTCCGTTCGATGATGATTCCATTCGATTCCATTTGATGATTCCATTCGATTCCATTCGATTAGATTTGATGATTGTATTTGATTCCATTTGATGATTCCATTTGAATCCATTCGATGATGATTCTATTCGTGTCCATCTAATGATGATTCCATTCTAGTCCATTCGAGGATGATTGCATTCGAGTCTATGCAATGATGATTTCATTTGAGATCAATCGATGATTCCATTCGAGTCCATTTCATGATGATTCCATTCAATTAAATTCGATGATTCCATTCGATTCCATTCAATGACCCCATTCGATTCCATTCGATGATTCCATTTGATTACATTCGATTATGATTCCATTCTATTCCATTTGATTATGATTCCATTCTATTCCATTCGATTATGATTCCAATCTATTCAATTAGATGATTCCATTCCATTCCATTCAATGATTCCATTTGATTCCATTCGATGATTCCATTCGATTCCATTCCATGATGATTCTGTTCAATTCCATTCGATGATGATTCCATTAGATTCCATTCAATGATGATTCCCTTCGATTCCAACCGATGATTATTCCATTTGATTCCATTGGATGATGATTCTGCCTGATTCCTTCCGGTGATGATTCCATTCGATTCCATGAGTTTATCATTCTATTCGATTCCATTCGATGATGATTCCATTAGATTCCAACCAATGATGATTTCATTCAAATCCATCCAATGATGATTCCATTCTTGCCCATTCGGTGATGATTCCATTAGATTCCATTCGATGATTCCATTCGATTCCATTCCATGATTACATTCAATTCCATTCTGTGATGATTCCATTCGATTCCGTTCAATGGTGATTCCATTTGATTCCATTTGATGATTCCATTCAATTCCATTCAATTCCATTCAGTGATGATTCCATTCGATTCCATTCGATGGTGATTCCATTTGATTCCATTTGATGATTCCATTCGATTCCATTCAATTCCATTTGATGATTCCAATCGATTCCATTAGATGACTCCATTCGGTTTCATTCGATGATTCCATTCGATTCCAATCAATGATGATTCCAATCGATTCCGTTCAATGATGGTTCCAATTGATTCTACTCGATGATGATTCCCTTCAATGCCATTCGATGATTCCATTGGATTCCATTCGATGATGATTCCATTAGATTCCATTCGATGATTCTATTCTATTTCATTTGATGACGATTCCTTTCCATTCCATTCAATGATTGCATTCGTTTCCATTTGATGAGGATTCCATTCTATTCCATTTGATTATTCCGTTCGATTCCATTTGATGCTGATTCCATTCGATTCCATCCGATGATGATTCCATTTGAGTCCATCCAATGATGATTCCATTCTTCTTCATCCAATGATGATTCCATTCGTGTCCATCCAATGGTGATTCCATTTGAGTCCATCCAATGATGATTCCATTCGAGTCCATCCAATGATGATTCCATTTGAGTCCATCTGATGATGATTCCATTCGGGTCCATCCGATGATGATTCCATTAGAGTCCATCCAATGATGATTCCATTTGGGTCCATCTGATGATGATTCCATTCGAGTCCATTCGATGATGATTCCATTCGATGATTCCCTTTGATTCCATCTGATGATGATTCCATTCAATTCCATCCGTTGATGATTCCATTCGATTCCATTTGATGATGATTCCATTCGATTCCATCCGATGATGATTACTTTCGAGTCCATCTGATGATGATTGCATTTGAGTCCATTCGATGCTGATTCCATATGAGTCCATCCAATGATGATTCCATTCATGTGCATTGGAAGAAGATTCTAATTGATGATTCCCTTCCATTTCATTCAATGATGATTCCATTCAATCTCATCCGATGATGATCCCATTTGATTCCATCTGATGATGATTCCATTCAATTCCATCTGAAATTGATTCCATTCGATTCCATGTGATGATGATTCCATTCAATTCCACCGGATGATTATTCCATTCGATTCCATCTGACAATGATTCCATTAGATTCCTTCTGACAACATTTGATTCCATTGGATGATGATTCCATTCGATCCCGTTTGATGATGATTCAATTAAAATCCATCCGATAGTGATTCCAACAGATTCCATCCGATGATGATTCCATTTGATTCCATCTGATGATCTTGCCATTCGATTCCAACCCATGAAGATTCCATCCAATTCCACCCAATGATGATTCCATTCGAGTCCATCCTATGATGATTCCATTCGAGTCCATCCAATGATGATTCCATTCAAGTCCATTCGATGATGATTCCATTCGATTCCATTCGATGATTCCATTCGATTCCATTCTATGACTCCATTTCATTCCGTTTGATTATTCCATTCGATTCCACTTGATGATTCCATTTGATTCCTTTTGATGATTCCATTAATAATCAATTCGAAGATGATTCCATTTCATACCATTCGATGATGATTCCTTTCAATTCCATTTGATGATTCCATTGGATTCCATTTGATGATGATTCCATTCAAGTCCATTTGATGATGATTCCTTTCGAGTCCATTCGATTGTGATTCCATTCGAGTTCATTTGATGATTCCATTCGATTCCATTCGATGATGATTCCATTTGATTCCATTCGATGATGATTCCATTTGATTCCATTCGATGATGATTCCATTCGATTTCATTCTATGATGATTCCATTCATTTCCATTAGGTGATTCCATTGAATTCCATTCCATAATGATTCCATTCAATTGCTTTAGATGATGATCCCATTCAATTCTATTTGATGATTCCAGTGGATTCCATTCGATGATGATTCCATTCAAGTCCATTCGATTGTGATTCCATTTGAGTCAATTTGATGATGATTCCATAACAGTCCATTCGATGATGATTCCATTTGATGATTCCATTAGATTCCATATGATGATTATTCCATTAGAGTCCATCCGATGACAATTCCATTCAAGTCAATCTGATGATAATTCCATTCGTGTCCATCCGATGATGATTCCATTCTATTCCATTCAATAATTCCATTCGATTCCATTTGATGATGATTCCATTTGATTCCATTCAATGAAGATCCCATTGGATTCCATTCGATGATTCCATTCGAGTCCATTCGATGATTCCATTCGATTCCAGTTGATGATTCCATGGGACTCCATTCGATGATGATTCAATTTGATTCCATTCGATGACTCCATTCGATTCCATTTGATGATGTTTCCATTTGATTCCATTCGATGATTCCATTCGACTCCATTCGATTCCATTTGATGATGTTTCCATTTGATTCCATTTGATGATGTTTCCATTTGATTCCATTTGATGATTCCATTCGATTCCATTTGATGATTCCATGGGATTCCATTCGATGATGATTCAATTTGATACCATTTGATGACTCCATTCGATTCCATTTGATGATGTTTCCATTTGATTCCATTTGATGATTCCATTCGACTCCATTTGATGATGATTCCATTTGATTCCATTCAATGATTTGATTTGATTCCATTCATTTCCATTCGATGATGATTCCATTCGATTCCATTCGATGATTCCAATCGATTCCATTTGATGATTCCATTCGAATCCATTTGATGATGTTTCCATTCGATTCAATTTGATAATGAGTCCATTCGATTATATTTGGTGATGATTCCATTCGATTCCATTCGACGATTCCTTTGGATTCCATTAGACCACGATTCCATTTGATTCCATTCGATGATTCCTTTCGTTTCCATTCAATGATGATTCCATTTGATTCCATTAGATGATTCCATTAGAATCCATTTGATGATGATTCCATTCGATTCCATTCAAAGATTACTTTAGATTACATTTTATTCCATTCAATGATTCCATTAGGTTACATTCAATGATTCCATTTGATTGCATTTGATGCTGATTCCATTTGATTCCATTCGATGATGATTCCATTCGATTCCATTCAATGATGATTCCATTTGATTCCATTCATTGATAATTCCATTTGATTCCATTCGATGATTCCGTTCGAGTTCATTTAATGATGACTCGATTCCATTCAATGATGATTCCATTCGATGATGATTCCATTCAATTCCATTTGATGATGATTCCATTCAATTCCATTCGGTGATTCCATTGGATTCAATTCTATGATGATTCCATTCGAGTCCATTTGATGATGATTCCTCTCAAGTGCATTCAATGATGATCCCATTCTTGTCCTTTCGATGATGATTCCATTCGATGATTCCATTCAATTCCATCCGATGATGATTTCATTAGAGTCTATCCGATGACGATTCCATTTGAGTCAATCCGATGATGATTCCATTCGTGTCCATCCAATGATGCCATTCGATTCCATTCGATGATTCCTTCGATTCCATTCGATGATGATTCCATTTGATTCCATTTGATGATGATTCCATTCGATTCCATTTGATGATTCCATTGGATTCCATTCTAGGATGATTCCATTCTATTCCATTCTATTCAATTCAATGATGATTCCATTCAATTCCATTCGACGATAATTCCATTTGATTCCATTCGATGATGTTTCCATTCGATTCCATTCGATGATGATTTCATTCGATTCCATTCGATGATTCCGTTCGATTCCATTCAATGATGATTCCATTCGATTCCATTCGATGATGATTTTATTCTATTCCATTCGATGATGATTCCATTCAATTCCATTCAATGATTCCTTTGAATTCCATTTGATGATGATTCCATTTGATTCCTTTCAATGATTCCATTCGATTCCATTCGATGACAATACCATTTGATTCCATTCAATGATACCATTCGATTCCATTGGATGATGATTCCATTCGAATCGATTTGATGATTATTCCATTCGATTTTTTTCAATGATGATTCCATTCGATGATGATTCCACTCGAGTCCATTCGAAGATGATTCCATTCGATTCCATTCGATGATGATTCCACTGAATTCCATTTGATGATGATTCCATTCAATTCCATTCAATGAGGATTCCATTTGATTCCCTTCAATGATGATTCCTTTCAATTCCATTCGATGATGTTTCCATTCAATTCCATTCGATGATTCCATTCAATTCCATTCGTTGCTTCCATTCGATTCCAATCGATGATGATTCCATTCGATTCCATTCGCTGATGATTCCATTTGAATCAATTCGATGATGATTCCATTTGAGTCCATCTGATGATGATTCCATTAGAGTCCATCTGATGACGATTACCTTTGAGTCCATCTGATGATGATTGCATTTTTGTCCATTTGATGATGATTCCATTTGTGTCCATCCGATCATGATTTCATTCGATTCCATTCGATGATTCCATTTGATTCCATTCAATGATGATTCCATTCGATTCCATTCGATGATTCCACTGGATTCCACTCGATGATGATTTCATTCGAATCCATTCCATGATTTCATTCGATTCCATTCGATGATGATTTATTTCGATTCCATCCAATGACGATTGCATTCGATTCGAACCAATGATAATTCCATTCGATTGCATTCCATGATTCCATTCAATTCCATTTGATGAGGATTCCATTCGATTCCATTCACTGTTGATTCCACTCGATTCCATTCGACGATGATTCTATTCCATTCCATTCTATGATGATTCCATTCGTTTCCATGCAATGATGACTACATCCATTTACATTCGATGATGATTCCGTTCAATTCCATTTGATGATTCCATTGGATTCCATTCAATGATGATTCCATTTGATTCCATTCAAAGATTCCATTAGATTCCATTCGACGATGATTCCATTTGATTCCAATCGATAATTCCATTCGATTCCATTGGATGATTATTCCATTCGATTCTGTTTGATGATTCCATTCGATGGTTCCATTTGATTCCATTTGATGATTCCATTCAATTCTATTCAATGATTCCATTCGATTCCATTTGATGATGATTCCAATCAATTCCATTCAATGATGACTTCATTCGATTCCATTCGATGATGATTTCATTCGATTCCATTCGATGATTCCATTCGATTCCAATTGATGATGATTCAATTCCATTCCATTTGATGGTGATTCCATTCGATTCCATTCGATGATGATTCCATTCAATTTCATTCGATGATAATTCCATTCGAATTCATTTGACGATGTTTCCATTCGATTCCATTCGATGATGATTTCATTGGATTCCATTCGATGATTCCATTCGATTACATTCGACGATGATTTCATTCGATTGCATTCAATGATTCCATTCGTTTCCATTCGATGATGATTCCTTTTGATTCTATTCGATGTTTCTATTTGATTCCATTTGCTTCCATTCGATGATTCCATGTGATTCCATTTGATGATTCCATTCGATTCCATTCAATGATGATTCCATTCAATTCCATTCGATGATTCCTTTGGATTCCATTTGATGATGATTCCATTTGATTCCTTTTGATGATTCCATTTGATTCCATTCAATGATGATTCCATTCGATTCCATTCAATGATACAATTCGATTCCATTCGATGATGCTTCCATTCGATTCCTTTCGATGATGGTCCCAATGAATTCCATTCGATGATGATACCATGCGATTCCATTCGATGATTCCATTGGATTTCATTTGATGATGATTCCATTTGATTCCATTCAATGATTCCATTTGTTTCCTTTTGCTTCCATTTGATGATTCCATTCGATTCCATTCAATGATTCCATTTGATTCCATTTGATGATGAATGCATTCGATTCCATTCGGTGATGATCCCATTCAATTCAATTGGATAATGATTTCTTTCCTTTCCATTTGATGATAATTCCATTTGAATCCATTCAATGATGTTTCCATTCAATTACATTCAATGATGATTCCATTCAATTCCTTTTGATGATGATTCCATTCGAGTCCATTTGATGATTCGATTCGAGTCCATTCGATGATGATTCCATTAGAGTCCATTTGATGATGATTCCATTCAATTCCATACCACGATTCCATTTTGATTCCACTCGATAATTATTCCATTCATTTCCATTCGATGATTCCATTCGATTTCATTTGATGATACTTCTGGTCAATTCCATTAGATGATTCCTTTAGATTCCATTCAATGATGATTCCATTCGATTCCATTTGATGATTCCATTCAATTCCAGTTGATGATTCCATTAGATTCAATTCAATGATTCCATTCGATTCCTTTTGATGATGATTCCATTTGATTCCATTCGATGATGATTCCATTCAATTCCATTCGATGATGATTCCATTTGATGATGATTCCATTCGATTCGATTCATTCATGATTCCATTTGATTCCATGCAATGATGACTCCATCCATTTACATTCGATGATGATACCAATTGATTCCATTCGATGATGATTCCATTCGATTCCATTAGAAGATTCCATTCAATTCCATTCGATGATGGTTCCATTAGATTCCAATCGATGATACCATTCGATTCCATTCTATGATGATTCCATTTAATTCTATTCAATGATTTCATTCAATGATTCCATTTGCTTCCATTCGATGATTCCATTTGATTCTATTCAATGATTCCATTCAATTCAATTTGATGATGATTCCATTCAATTCCATTCGATGATGATTCCATTCGATTCCATTCGATGATGGTCCCTTTTGATTCCATTCGATGATAATTCCATTCGATTCCACTCAATGATTTTATACGGTTCCAATATATGATGATTCCGTTCGATTCCATTTGATGATGATTCCATTCGATTCAATTCGATGATATTTCCATTCAATTCCATTCGATGATAATTCCATTTGATGCCATTCGATGATGTTTCCATTCGATTCCATTTGATGATGATTTCATTTGATTGCATTTGATGATTCCATTCGATTCCATTCAATGATGATTTCATTCGATTCCATTCAGTGATTCCATTTGATTCCATTCGATGATTCCTTTGGATTCCATTTGATGATATTTCCATTTGATTCCTTTCTATGATTCCATTCGATTCCATTCGATGATGATTCCATTCGATTCCATTCAGTTATACCATTCGATTCCATTCCATGATGATTCCATTCGATTCCTTTCGATGATGGTTCCAATCAATTCCATTCGATGATGATACCGTTAGTTTCCATTCGATGATTCCATTGGATTCCATTTGCTTCTATTTGATGATTCCATTTGATTTCATTCAAAGATTCCATTCTGTTCCATTCAATGATGAATCCATTCGATTCCATTTGATGATTATCCCTTTCAATACAATTGGATAATGATTCCTTTCAATTCCATTTGATGATAATTACATTCGATTCCTTTCAATGTTGATTCCATTTGATTACATTCAATGATGTTTTCTTTCAATTCCTTTTGATGACGATTCCATTCGACTCCATTCGATGGTGATTCCATTCGTGTCCATTCGATGATGGTTCCATTAGGGTCCATTCGATGATGATTCCATTTGATTCCATTCGATGATGGTTCCATTAGGGTCCATTTGATGATGATTCCTTTTGATTCTATTCGATGATTCCATTTGATTCCACTCGATAATGATTCCATTAGGTTCCATTTGATGATGCCATTCAACTTCATTCAATGATACTTCTGGTCGATTCAATTGGATGATTTCATTTGATTCAATTCGATGATATTTCCATTCGATTCCATTCCATGATTCCATTCGATTCTAGTTGATGATTCCATTCTATTCTAGTTGATGATTCCATTCGATTCCATTCAATGATTCCATTCGATTCCATTTGATGATTATATTCGATTCCTTTCAATGATTCCATTCGATTCCATTCAATGATGTCTCCATTCGAGTCCATTCGGTGATGATTCCATTCCAGTCCATTCGATGGTGATTCCTTTTGAGTCCAATCGATGATGATTCTATTCGAGTCCATTCGATGATGATTCCATTTGAGTCCATTCGATGATGATTCCATTCGATAATGATTACATTTAATGATGTTTCCATTTGAGTCCTTTTGATGATGATTCCATTTGATTGGATTTGATGATGATTCCATTGGATTTTTTTTGATGATGATTCCATTGGATTTTTTTCGATGATGATTCCATTTGATGATGATTCCACTCGAGTCCATTCAATGATGATTCCATTCCATTCCATGATGATTCCGTTCAATTCCGTTTGATGATGATTCCATTCGATTCCCATCGATGATGATTCTTTTTGATTCTATTCGATGATGATTCCATTCGATTCCCATCAATGATGATTCCTTTTGATTCCATTCAATGATGATTCCATTCCATTCCATTCGATGATTCCATTCGTTTCCATTTGCTTCCATTCAATGATTCCATTTGATTCCATTCATTGCTTCCATTTGATTCCAATCGATGATGATTCCATTTGATTCCATTCGATGATAATTCCATTCGATTCTATTCAATGATTTCATTCGATTCAATTCTATGATGATTGCATTCGAATCCATTCGATGATGATTCCATTCAATTCCATTCGATGATTCCTTTCGATTCCATTTGATGATGATTCCAATCGATTACATTTTATAATGATTCCATTCGATTCCATTCAATGATGATTCCATTCAATTCCATTTGATGATGATTCCATTCAATTCCATACAAAGACGATTCCATTTGATTCCATTTGATGACGATTCCATTGGAGTCCATTCGATGATGAATCCATTCGAGTCCATTCAACGATGATTCCATTCAATTCTATTCGATGACGATTCCTTTCGACTCCATTCTAGCACGATTCTATTCGAGTCCATTCAATGATGATTCCATTTGAGTCCATGTGATCACAATTCAATTCGAGTCCATTCGATGATTATTCCATTCGAATCCATTCGATGATGATTCCATTTGAGTCCATTTGATGACACTTCCATTCGAGTTCATTCGATGATGATTTCTTTGGTGTACATTTGATGATGATTCCATTCGAGTCCATTTGATGATGCTTCCATTTGAGTCTATTCGAGGATGATTCCATTCGTGTCCATTTCATTCCATTCGAGTCCATTCCAATCCATTCGAGTCCATTCCATTCGATTCCATTCCATTCCAGTCCATTCCAGTCCATTCTATTCCATTCCATTCCACTACTTTCCATAACATCCGATTCCATTCCACTCCATTCCACTCCACTCCACTCCACTCCACTCCACTCAGGTTCACTCCATTCCGTTCCATTCCATTCCACTCCATTCCATTCCATTACTTTCTTTCGAGAGTTTCTCACTCTGTCACCCAGGCTGGAGTGCAGTGGCACAATCTCAGCTCCCATTCCATTCCTTTCCATTCCATGCAATTCCATTTGATTTGATTCCATTCTGTTCGATTTGATTCGATTCATTTCAATTCCATTCCATTCCATTCCATTCCATTCCATTCCATTCCATTCCACTCCACTCCACTCCACTCCACTCCATTCCATTCCATTCCATTTCACTCCATTGCATTCCAT
Source organism: Homo sapiens (assembly GCF_000001405.40). NCBI lineage: Eukaryota > Metazoa > Chordata > Mammalia > Primates > Hominidae > Homo > Homo sapiens. The sequence continues at coordinate 34,073,232 of NC_000016.10, read as the reverse complement.
TCCTTTCTTTCGACAGGATATCACTGTGTCACCCAGGCTGGAGTGCAGTGGCACAATCTCAGCTCACATTACATGTCAACTTTCCATTGCATTGCATTCTATTCCATTGCATTGCATTGCATTGCATTCAATTCCATTCCTTTCCATTCCATTCCATTCCATTCCATTCCACTGTGTTCCTTTCCACTCCACTCCACTCCACTACATCCCATTACATCCGATTCCATGCCACTCCATTCCACTCCTCTCCACTCCACTGCAGTCCACTACACTCCTTTCCATTCCATCTCATTAAATTCCACTCCATTCCACTGCACTGCACTCCACCCCACTCCACTCCACTTCATTTCATTTCATTCCATCCCATTCCATTCCTCTCTATTGCACTCCACTACACTTCACTCCACTCCACTCCACTCCAGTCCACTCCATTCCATTTCATTCCATTCAACTGAATTCAATTTCATTCCTTTCTTTCGAGTGTATCTCACTCTGTCACCCAGCCTGGAACTCAGTGACACAGTCTCAGCTCCCATTCAATTCCATTCCATTTGATTCCATGCGATTCCATTCGATTCAATTCCATTCTATGATTCCATTCAATTTCATTTGATGACTCCCTTCGATTCCATTCAATGATTCCATTCGATTCCATTTGATGATGATTCCATTCGATTCCATTAGATGATGACTCCATTCCATTCCATTCGATGATGATTCCTTTTGATTCCATTCAATGATGATTCCATTCGATTCCGTTCAATGATGACTCCATTCAACTCCGTTCGATGATGATTCCATTCTATTCCATTCGATGATGATTCCATTCAACTCCATTTGATGATTCCATTCAATTCCATTTGATGATGATTCCATTCGGTTCCATTTGAAGATGATTCCATTTGAGTCCATTCGGTGATGATTCCATTCGAGTCCATTCGATGATGATTCCATTCGAGTCCATTCGATGATGATTCTATTCGAGTCCGTTCGATGATGATTCCATTCAAGTCCCTTCCATTCCATTCGAGTCCATTCCATTCGAGTCCATTCCATTCCATTCCATTTAATCCAGTTCCATTCCACTACATTCCACTCCTCTCCACTCCACTCCACTTCACTCCACTCCACTTCACTCCAGTCCACTCCATTCCATTCCATTCCATTCCAATGCATTCCATTCCAATGCATTCCATTCCATTCCTTTATTTCAAGAGTATCTCACTCTGTCACCCAGCCTGGAGCACAGTGGCATAATCTCAGCTCCCATTCCATTCCATTCCATTCCATGCCATTCGATTCCATTCGATTCCATTTGATTTGATTCCATTCGATTCCAATCCATTTGATTCCATTCTATGCTATTCGATTCGATTCCATTCCATTTCATTCCATTCCACTCCACTCCACTCCACTCCATTCCATTCCATTTCACTCCATTGCATACCATTCCTTTCTTTCGACAGGATATCACTGTGTCACCCAGGCTGGAGTACACTGGCACCATCTCAGCTCAGACTACATGTCAACTTTCCATTGCATTGCATTCTATTCCATGACATTCAATTGCATTCCATTTCATTCCATTCCATTCCATTCCATTCCATTCCATTCCATTCCATTCCATTCAATTCCATTCCGTTCCATTCCATTTAATTCTATTCCATTCCATTCCATTCCACTCTGTTCCACTCCACTCCACTACATTTCATTACACCGATTCCATTCAAATCCATTCCACTCCTCTCCAATCTACTGCACTCCAATCCACTCCTTTCCATTCCAACCCATTCCATTCTGCTCCATTCCACTGCACTCCAATCCACCCCACTCCACTCCACTTCATTCTATTCCATTCCATCCCATTCCATTCCACTGCTTTGCACTTCACTCCAATCCACTCCAGTCCACTCCATTCCATTCCATTCCTTTCCACTGCTTTCCATTCCATTCCCTTCTTTCGAGAGTATCTCAGTCTGTCACCCAGACTGCAGCGCAGTGGCAGAATCTCAGCTCCCATTCCATTCGATTCTATTCGATGCCATTGGATTCCATTCTAGTCGATTCCATTCGAGGATTCCATTCGATTCCATTCGATGATGATTCCATTCGATTCCTTTCGATGATGATTCCATTTTATTCCATTCAATGATGATTCCATTCGAGTCCATTCGGTGATGATTCCATTTGTGTCCTTTTGATGATGACTCCATTCGAGTACATTCGATGATGACTCCATTTGAGTCCATTCAATGATGATTCCATTCGATTCCATGCGATGATGACTCTATTCGTTTTCCTTCAATGATAATTCCATTCGAGTTCATTCGATGATGACTCCATTCAAGTCCATTCCATGATGACTCCATTTGAGTCCATTCGATGATGATTCCATTCGAGTCCATTTGATGATGATTCCATTTGAGTCCATTCCATGATGATTCCTTTTGGGTCCATTCGATGATGACTCCATTCGATTCCATTCGATGATTATTCCATTCGAGTTCATTGGATGACGATTCCATTCGAGCCATTTGATGATGATTCTATTCGAGCCCATTCGATGATGATTCCATTCGAGTCCATTGGATGATGATTCCACTCGATTCCATTCAATGATGACTCCATTCGAGTCCATTTGATGATGATTCCATTCGAGTCCATTCGATGATGATTCCATTCGAGTCCATTCGATGATTCCATTCGATTCCATTCGATGATGATTCCATTCGAGTCCATTGGATGACGATTCCATCTGAGTCCATTCGATGATTATTCTATTCAGGTCCATTCGATGATGATTCCATTCGAGTCCATTGGATGATGATTCCACTCGATTCCATTCAATGATGACTCCATTCGAGTCCATTTGATGATGATTCCATTCGAGTCCATTCGATGATGATTCCATTCGAGTCCATTGGATGACGATTCCATCCGAGTCCATTCGATGATTATTCTATTCAGGTCCATTCGATGATGATTCCATTCGAGTCCATTGGATGATGATTCCACTCGATTCCATTCGATGATGATTCCATTCAAGTCCATTCGATGATGATTCCATTCATGTCCATTCCATGATGATTCCATTCGAGTCCGTTCAATGATTGCAGTGTATTCCAATCAATGATTCCATTCGATTCCATTCAATAATTACATTCGATTCCATTCAATTCCATTCAATGATTCCATTCGATTCCTTTTGATGATGATTCCATTCAATTCCATTTGAAGATTCCATTCGATTCCATTTGATAATTCCATTTGATTCCATTCGATGATGATTCCATTCCATTCCATTCCATTCGATGATTCCATTCGATTCCATTCGATGATCCATTCGATTCCATTCGATGATGGTTCCATTCGATTGCATTCGATAATGATTCCATTCGATTAAATTTGATGATTTCATTCGATTCCATTCGATGATTCCATTCGAGTCCATTCAATGTTGATTCCATTCGAGTTCATTCGATGATGACTCCATTCAAGTCCATTCCACGATGACTCCATTTGAGTCCATTCGATGATGATTCCATTCGAGTCCATTTGATGATGATTCCATTCGAGTCCATTCCATGATGACTCCATTCGAGTCCATTTGATGATGACTCCATTCGAGTCCATTCGAAGATGATTCCATCCGAGTCCATTTGACGATGATTCCATTCGAGTCCATTCGATGATGATTCCATTCGAGTCTATTCGATGATGGTTCCATTCGATTGCATTCGATAATGATTCCATTCGATTAAATTTGATGATTCCATTTGATTCCATTCGATGATTCCATTCGAGTCCATTCAATGTTGTTTCCATTAGATTCCATTCGATGATGACTCCATTCAAGTCCATTCGATGATGGCTCCATTCGATTGCATTTGATAATCATTCTGTTCGATTAAATTTGATGATTCCATTCGATTCCATTCGATGATTACATTCGAGACCATTTGATGTTGATTCCATTCGATTCCATTCGATGATGACTCCATTAGAGTCCATTTGATAAGGATTCCATTCGAGTCCATTCAATGATGATTCCATTCGAGTCCATTTGATGATGATTCCTTTCATGTCCATTCGATGATGATTCCATTAGAGTCCATTCAATGATTGCTTTCAATTCCATTCAATGATTCCATTCGATTCCATTCAATAATTCCATTCGATTCCATTTGATGATGATTCCATTCGATTCCATTTGATGATTCCATTCGATGATGATTCCATTCAATTCCATTTGACGATTCCATTTGATTCCATTTGATGATTCCATTCGATTCCATTCGATGATGATTCCATTCGATGATTCCATTCGATGATTCCATTCGATTCCCTTTGATGATGATTCCATTCGACTGCATTTGATAATGATTCCCTTTGATTAAATTCGATGATTCCATTCGATTCCTTTCGATGGTTCCATTGGAGTCCATTCGATGTTGATTCTATTCGATTCCATTAGATGATGACTCCATTCGAGTCCATTTGATGATGATTCCATTCATGTCCATTCGTTGATGAATCCATTCGAGTCCATCAATGATTGCCTTCGATTCCATTCAATGATTCCATTCAATTTCATTCTATAATTCCATTCGATTCCATTCAATCATGATTCCATTCGATTCCCTTCAATGATTCCATTCGGTTCCACTTGATGATTCTGTTCAATTCCATTCAATGATGATTCCATGTGATTGCATTTGATAATGATTCCATTCAATTCCATTCGCTGATTCCTTTTGATTCCATTCGATGATTCCATTCGATTCCATTTGATGATTGTTCCATTAGATTCCATTCGATGATTCCATTCGATTCCATTCGATGATTCCTTTCGATTCCATTTGATGATGATTCCAATCGATTACATTTTATAATGATTCCATTCGATTCCATTCAATGATGATTCCATTCAATTCCATTTGATGATGATTCCATTCAATTCCATACAAAGACGATTCCATTTGATTCCATTTGATGACGATTCCATTGGAGTCCATTCAATGATGAATCCATTCGAGTCCATTCAACGATGATTCCATTCAATTCTATTCGATGACGATTCCTTTCGACTCCATTCTAGCACGATTCTATTCGAGTCCATTCAATGATGATTCCATTTGAGTCCATGTGATCACAATTCAATTCGAGTCCATTCGATGATTATTCCATTCGAATCCATTCGATGATGATTCCATTTGAGTCCATTTGATGACACTTCCATTCGAGTTCATTCGATGATGATTTCTTTGGTGTGCATTTGATGATGATTCCATTCGAGTCCATTTGATGATGCTTCCATTTGAGTCTATTCGAGGATGATTCCATTCGTGTCCATTTCATTCCATTCGAGTCCATTCCAATCCATTCGAGTCCATTCCATTCGATTCCATTCCATTCCAGTCCATTCCAGTCCATTCTATTCCATTCCATTCCACTACTTTCCATAACATCCGATTCCATTCCACTCCATTCCACTCCACTCCACTCCACTCCACTCCACTCAGGTTCACTCCATTCCGTTCCATTCCATTCCACTCCATTCCATTCCATTACTTTCTTTCGAGAGTTTCTCACTCTGTCACCCAGGCTGGAGTGCAGTGGCACAATCTCAGCTCCCATTCCATTCCTTTCCATTCCATGCAATTCCATTTGATTTGATTCCATTCTGTTCGATTTGATTCGATTCATTTCAATTCCATTCCATTCCATTCCATTCCATTCCATTCCATTCCATTCCATTCCATTCCACTCCACTCCACTCCACTCCACTCCATTCCATTCCATTCCATTTCACTCCATTGCATTCCATTCCTTTCTTTCGACAGGATATCACTGTGTCACCCAGGCTGGAGTGCAGTGGCACAATCTCAGCTCACATTACATGTCAACTTTCCATTGCATTGCATTCTATTCCATTGCATTGCATTGCATTGCATTCAATTCCATTCCTTTCCATTCCATTCCATTCCATTCCATTCCACTGTGTTCCTTTCCACTCCACTCCACTCCACTACATCCCATTACATCCGATTCCATGCCACTCCATTCCACTCCTCTCCACTCCACTGCAGTCCACTACACTCCTTTCCATTCCATCTCATTAAATTCCACTCCATTCCACTGCACTGCACTCCACCCCACTCCACTCCACTTCATTTCATTTCATTCCATCCCATTCCATTCCTCTCTATTGCACTCCACTACACTTCACTCCACTCCACTCCACTCCAGTCCACTCCATTCCATTTCATTCCATTCAACTGAATTCAATTTCATTCCTTTCTTTCGAGTGTATCTCACTCTGTCACCCAGCCTGGAACTCAGTGACACAGTCTCAGCTCCCATTCAATTCCATTCCATTTGATTCCATGCGATTCCATTCGATTCAATTCCATTCTATGATTCCATTCAATTTCATTTGATGACTCCCTTCGATTCCATTCAATGATTCCATTCGATTCCATTTGATGATGATTCCATTCGATTCCATTAGATGACTCCATTCCATTCCATTCGATGATGATTCCTTTTGATTCCATTCAATGATGATTCCATTCGATTCCGTTCAATGATGACTCCATTCAACTCCGTTCGATGATGATTCCATTCTATTCCATTCGATGATGATTCCATTCAACTCCATTTGATGATTCCATTCAATTCCATTTGATGATGATTCCATTCGGTTCCATTTGAAGATGATTCCATTTGAGTCCATTCGGTGATGATTCCATTCGAGTCCATTCGATGATGATTCCATTCGAGTCCATTCGATGATGATTCTATTCGAGTCCGTTCGATGATGATTCCATTCAAGTCCCTTCCATTCCATTCGAGTCCATTCCATTCGAGTCCATTCCATTCCATTCCATTTAATCCAGTTCCATTCCACAGGATATCACTGTGTCACCCACGCTGAAGTTCAGTGGCACAATCTCAGCTCACATTACATGTCAACTTTCCATTGCATTGCATTCTATTCCATTGCATTCCATTGCATTCCTTTCCATTCCATTCCATTCCACTCCATTCAATTCCATTCTATTCCACTCCATTCCACTCCACTCAACTCCACTCCACTATATTCCATTACATCCGATTCCATTCCACTCCATTCCACTCCTCTCCACTCCACTGCATTCCACTCCACTCCGTTCCACTCCATCCCATTGCATTCCGCTCCATTCCACTGCACTCCACTCCACCCCATGCCACTCCGCTTCATTCCTTCCCATTCCATTCCTGTCCATTCCACTCCACCCCACTTCACTCCACTCCAGTCCACTCCATTCCATTCCATTCCACTGCATTCCATTCCATTCCTTTCTTTCGAGATTATATGACTCTGTCACCCAGCCTGGAGTGCAGTGGCACAATCTCAGCTCACATTTCATTTCACCATTCCATTCCATTCCATTTCATTCCACTCCTCTCCACTCCACTCCACTCCAATTCATTCCACTCCACTCCCCTCCAATCCATTCCACTCTTTTCCATTCCATCCCACTCCATTCCACTCCTTTCCACTCCACTCCACTCCATTCCACTCCACTCCATTACATTCCCTTCTAAATTCATTCCATTCCATCCCTTTTTTTTCACAGGATCTCACTCTGTCTCCCAGGCTGGTGTGCAGTGGCACAATCTCAGCTCACATTTCCTTTCACCATTCCATTCCATTCCACTGCACTCCACTCCACTCCACTCAATCCCACTCCACTCCACTCCAATCCATTCCATTTCATTCCATTCGAATCCCTTCAATTCCACTCCTTTCTTTCGACAGGATTTCCCTCTTTCACACAGGTTGTAGCACAGTGGCACAATCTCAGCACACATTTCTTTTCTCCATTCCATTCCATTCCACTCCACTCCACTCCATTCCATTCCACTCTATTCCACTATGTCCCATTCCATTCCATTCCATTTCACTCCATTGCATTCCATTCCTTTCTTTCGACAGGATATCACTATGTCTCCCAGGCTGGAGTGCAGTCGCACAATCTCATCTCATATTACATGTCAACTTTCGTTTGCATTGCATTCTATTCTATTGCATTCCATTGCATTCCATTCTATTCCGTTCCATTCCATTTAATTCAATTCCATTCCATTCCTCTCTGCTCCACTCCACTCCACTACATTCCATTACATCCGATTCCATTCCACACCATTCCCCTCCTCTGCACTCCACTGACCTCCACTCCACTCCATTTCACTCTGTCCCATTCCTTTCCGCTCCTTTCCACTGCACTCCAGTCCACCCCACTCCACTCCACTTCATTCCATTCCATTCCATCCCAGTCCATTCCTCTCCATTCCACTCCACTCCACTCCAGTCCACTCCATTTCATTCCATTCCATTCCATTCCATTCCACTGCATTCCATTCCATTCCTTTCTTTCGAGAGTATCTCACTCTGTCACCCAGCCTGGAGCACAGTGGCACAATCTCAGCTCACATTTCATTTCACCATTCCATTCCATTCCATTCCACTCCACTCCACTCCATTCCAGTCCACTCCACTCCTTTCCATTCCATCCCATTCCATTCCACTTCATTCCACTCCACTCTGCTCCACTCCATTCCTCTCCACTCCACTCCTTTCCATTCCATCCCATTCCATTCCACTCCATTCCTCTCGACTCCACTCCATTCCATTCCATTCCATTCCTTTCTTTGGACAGGATCTCACTCTGTCATCCAGGCTCGTGTGCAGTGGCACAATCTCAGCTCACATTTCCTTTCACCATTCCATTCCATTCCACTGCACTCCACTCCACTCCACTCAATCCCACTCCACTCAACTCCAATCCATTCCATTCCATTTCATTCCAATCCCTTCCATTCCACTCCTTTCTTTGACAGGATCTCCCTCTGTCACACAGGTTGTAGTGCAGTGGCACAACCTCAGCACACATTTCTTTTCTCAATTCCATTCCATTCCATTCCATTCCATTCCATTGCATTCCATTCCATTCCATTCCATTCCATTCCATTCCATTCCATTCCATTCCATTCCGCTCCACTCCAGTCTATTCCACTCCACTCCATTCCACTCCATTCCATTCCACTCCACTCCAATCCACTCCACTTCATTCCACTCCACTCTACTCCATTCCTCTCCATTCCATTCCATTCCACTCCATTCCATTCCACTCCACTCCACTGCATTCCATTCCACTCCATTCCACTATGCTCCATTCCATTCCACTCCACTCCACTCCACTGCATTCCATTCCACTCCATTCCACTCCACTCCATTCCACTCCCCTCCATTCCACTCCACTCCACTCCAGTCCACTCCACTCCACTTCACTCCATTCCATTCCATTCCACTCCATTCCATTCCATTTCTTTTTTTCCACAGGATCACACTCTGTCACAAAGGCTGGAGTGCAGTGGCACAATCTCAGCTCACATTTCTTTTCACCATTCCACTACATTCCATTCCATCCCCTTCCATTCCAGTCTGTTTCACTCCACTCCACTCCACTCCATTCCATTCCACTCCATCCCATTCCATTCTACTCCATTCTACTCCACTCCACTCCACTCCATTCCATTCCATTCCATTTCACTCCATTGCATTCCATTCCTTTCTTTCAACAGGATATCACTGTGTCACTGAGGCTGGAGTGCAGTGGCACATTCTCAGCTCACATTACATGTCAACTTTCCATTGCATTACATTCTATTCCATTGCGTTCCATTGCATTCCATTCCATTCCATTCCATTCCTTTACATTCAATTCCACTCCTTTCCACTCCACTCCACTCCACTCCAGTATATTCCATTACATCCTATTCCATTCCACTCCATTCCACTCCTCTCCACTCCACTGAACTCCACTCCACCCCACTCCACTCCACTTCATTCCATCCCATTCCATCCCTCTCCATTCCACTCCACTCCACTTCACCCCACTCCACTTCACTCCAGTCCATTCCAGTCCATTCCATTCCATTCCACTGCATTCCATTCCATTTCTTTCTTTCGAGAATATCTCACTCTGTCACCCAGCTTGTAGCACAGTGGCACAACCTCAGCTCACATTTCATTTCACCATTCCATTCCATTCCATTCCATTCCATTCCATTCCATTCCAATCCACTCCACTCCACTCCAATCCATTCCACTCCACTCCACTCCATTCCAGTCTACTCCACTCCTTTCCATTCCATCCCATTCCATTCCACTCCTTTCCGCTCCACTCCACTCCATCCCTTTCCATTACACTCCATTCCATTCCATTCCTTTCTTTTGACAGGAACTCACTCTGTCACCCAGGCTGGTGTTCAGTGGCACAATCTCAGCTCACATTTCATTTCACCATTCCATTCCATTCCACTCCACTCCACTCCACTCAATTCCACTCCACTCCACTCCAATCCATTCCATTCCAATCCCTTCCATTCCACTCCTTTCTTTCGACAGGATCTCCCTCTGTCACACAGGCTATAGCGCAGTGGCAGAATCTCAGCACACATTTCTTTTCTCCATTTAATTCCATTCCATTCCATTCCTTTCCACTCCACTCCACTACAGTCCACTCTACTCCATTCCACTCCACTCCACTCCACCCCATTCCATTCCACTCCACTCCACTAAACTCCATTCCACTCCACTCCACTCCACTCCACCCTATTCCTCTCCATTCCACTATATCCCATTCCATTCCATTCCATTCCATTTCACTCCATTGCATTTCTTTCCTTTCTTTCAACAGGATATCACTGTGTCACCCAGGCTGGAGTGCAGTGGCCCAATCTCAGCTCACATTACATGTCAAATTTCCTTTGCATTGCATTCTATTCCATTGCATTCCATTGCATTCCATTGCATTCCATTCCATTCCGTTCCATGCAATTCCATTCCATTCCACTCTGTTCCACTCCACTGCACTCCACTACATTCCATTACATCCAATTCCATTCCACTCCATTCCCCTCCTCTGCACTCCACTGACCTCCATTCCACTCCATTCCACTCCGTCCCATTCCTTTCCGCTCCTTTCCACTACACTCCAGTCCACCCCACTCCACTCCACTTCATTCCATTCCATCACATTCCATTCATCTCCATTCCACTCCACTCCACTTCACTCCAATCCCTTCACTCGAGTCCACTCCATTCCATTCCATTCCATTCCACTGCATTCCATTCCATTTTTTTTTTGTTTCGAGAATATCTCACTCTGTCACCCAGCCTTGAACTTAACAGTTAAGATTCAAGTAGTGAAAAATGATAGTATTTAGGAAGATCTAGAAAATTTAATCTGTATCTGTGTTGTGTGAGAAGTATTAGAATAATGCTTGAATTCCTGGTTGGGCAAAGATTTCTACTGAGACTGGAAACATAATAGAAGTGAGCGAAAAAGAATTTAAATTGTAGATACTTGAGTTTTATACCTAGGAGTTCGAGAAATACATTTTGTTAATATCAAAGCTGTTCTCACAAGAGTGTACAAAATTCCCTAATTGTGTCTATGTGGAGAAGACATAGACAAACAGAGAATAGCAAAACAGAAATATCAAAAAAGCACAAATAAACTTTACCTGTATTTTTATGTAAAAGTCAATTAGAGTAGGAAAACATGAAATTTGTGTTTTATCAAAATTTTTCTTTCTCATAATATAGTTGATTATATTACTGGAAAAAAATTGAAGCATTGATATGTTCACAAAAAATAGTAAAATATAATATCAAAACCATGGGAACGCAGCGAGCAGACAAAATATACCTAAACACCGAAACTGATTTTGCCCTATGGACATGTACCAAAATGAATGAGTGCAGATTCCTACTGTCATACATCACATAGGACAGTAAAGAAAAACATAGTTTTTCCCAAGATAAGGCATCACACAGGAGCTCCTCCCTAAAGCTAGGACCAAAATTTCTATCCTCAGTATAAAGAAGAATCAGAGGTAAATTAATCCCATTTCACATTCCCTGGAAATGGCAAATAAAAATGTCTTGAGATTGAACAGATTTGAAGAAACCCAATCATTAATGATTTACAGCAATTAATTTAAAAATAGTTTAGATATGCAGTCCGAACATACGTCCAAACACCTTTAGGCCAAGAATTAACATAATGAGGTCCCAGAATGGTGGTGCCTTTAGTAGACTCATAAAAAAATTCAAATTCTCTCTGGAAAGTTTTCTTCTTACTAATACACAAAAGTGCACAAAAATAATTTTCAGAGAAAAATAAATATTTGTCATTCAAAGGCATCTAAGTACGCAAGGAAATGATATTCCACCATTTGAAAGGAAAGCAGAAAAAGAGTACAAACAGATCCACAAAGGTTCATTAGTAGAAATATCACTGTTAGATTATAAAGCACATTTGCTTTAAAAAATTTTAAAATAAAGAGAATATATTTTAGGAGACTAAAAAATTGATGTAGCAAATTTGAAAAGTAGTTTGTATAAAAATATAGTATTTTAAATTAAAAACTCAAAAATGAACTCATCAGATTAGACATGGCCATGGTGAGAGTTCATAAATATTTCAGAATGCATTACAGAAAATTTAAATAAAGGCACAATGTAGACAGAATCATGAAGAGACATGGAACATACAGTGAGAAAGTGTAGCATGTGTTTAGTGAGTGTTCTCATAGAAGAAGGGAACTGGGAAGGGACAATATGTGATGGTATTTTGGCTGAAAGTTCTCTAGACTTTTGTAAGACACTAATCTGCATATTCAAAAATTCCATGCATGCTAAGCAAGCTACAATGGAGATAAACCTACACCTACCTATCTCCTAGAGAAATAGTAAACAATCAGGAAGGGAAAAGTATCTCAATTAGCACTAGAAAAATCAAATTACTTTTAATCAAATTGAAATCTGAAAGAATGAAAGGTAAAATAAACAATATTATTTGTTTGTTAAGAATAATAATGCCATTCTGAAATTCAAAACCAAGAAAAATATTCATCAACCTATGGCTAAATAACATATTTAGAGACAAAAAACAAAACGCCTCCAGCAGAATTCCACTAAAGAAACTAAAAAGAAACTCTGAAAACATGCTTCAGAAAAGTTAAAGTTCTGAAATCAAAGTATGAACACAGAGCAAAATATATTGTAAACATACAGACAGATCTAAAGAAAAAATTAGGTGTTGAAACAAAAAGATATTTAAAATTAGATAAGCACTGCAATATGTATGTTAGGAAGCAAATTATTAGGGCTGAAGTATTCAAAGACCCCTTAATTGTCTGACAACAGCAGAAAGGTGAGTATGACGTTGCAACTCTTTATTTATTTATTTATTTTAAGAAGGAGTCTCACTCACTCTTTCGCCCAGGCTGGAGTGCAGTGGCGCCATCTCGGCTCACTGCAACCTCTGCCTTCCAGGTTCAAGCAATTCTCCTGCCTCAGCCTCCTGAGTAGCGGGGATTACAGCCACGTGCCACAATGCCTGGCTAATTTCTGTATTTTTAGTAGAGACGGGGTTTCACCATGTTGGTCAGGCTAGTCTCCAACCCCTGACCTCGTGATCCACACGCCTCGGCCTCCCGAAGTGTTGAGATTACAGGCATGAGCCATGCGGGCGACCGACTTTGGAATTTTAATAAATTCACTGGACATTATGCATTTCTCTGTTGTTATTTTTGAAAACAATAAAAATAAAAGTCATAATTTAAAAACAAGAAGACAGAAACTGATAGGAGAAATGAGACATTATATATATATATATATATATATGCAACAAATTAATAAAACGAATTAAGTATAAATGATCAAAGATTAACTTAAACCTAAGTAGACAATGTTTTTGTTAAAATACAAAGATTGGCAAAATTAAAAAAAAATCTCTATCATAATTACAAGAGAGGCAACTAATATATAAATTTACAGAAACTTTGAAGTTCAAACAATACAGATACTGCGTATATATGATATACATACAAACATACTACATGAATATTTTTTAAAACTTGCTATATAGACAAAATAGAATGTAAGTTAGAAACATTTATTAAAATAAGTTAGTCTAACCAGTGTGACAAAAGTTTTAAGTTATTAAGAAGATGTGATGACTTAAATGTGCATTAGCCTGATACATATATACATATATGCACACACACCACACACTCTCTCACACACACGCACACACGTATTTAGAGAGAGAGTCAAATTATATAAAGCAAAAATATCAGAAAGTAAGTAGAAATGAATAAGCTCTCAAATCATTATAGACATTTCAAACACATCTTTCAGTAATACATAAAAGAAAAAATTAAAAGAGTAAGTTTTAAAAAAAGCTAGTGGATTTTAAAAAGGGCAAATGTTATATAAGAAACATGAATATTATAATTCATGTTATTTTCATGTTCATACAGAATACTTACAAAAATTAACATTTTCTAGACCATACCACAAATTCAAACAATTTTCACGGAAATAACGTGACACAGAATATATTTCTTAAACAGCAATGAAGGTAGATAACAATACAAAAAAGAAAGCTAGAAACGTAGGTCTAATAATATTGGTTCGAAGCTATTTTAATGAATATTGAAATATTTTAAAGTCAATACAAATGAACCAAACACTTTTGTAAGGCCACTAAGATGCATGTGTAATGTGTAATGCCTCCTTTTATAAGGAGTAAATCTGTAACATCACCTGGGCTATTTGACAACTGCAAAGTGAATGTGAGAAGGAGAGAAACAGTGAGAGAGAGAGAGAGATAAAACCAGTAAAATAAACATAAAGAATGAAATAGCCAGGCTCCATGGTTCACACCTGTAATCCCAGCACTTTGGGAGGCCGAGTCAGGTGGATCACCTGAGGTCAGGAGTTCGACAACAGCCTGGTCCAACATGGTGAAACCCACTCTCTACTAAATATGCAAAAATTAGCCTGGCATGGTGGTATGCATCTGTAATCCCAGCTACTCGGGAGGCTGAGGTGGGAGAATTGCTTGAACGTGGGGGTTGGAGGTTGCAGTGAGTTGAGATCACGCCACTGCACTCTAGCTTGGGTGACAGAGCAAGACTCCGCCTCAAAAAAAAAAAAAAAAAAAAGGAGGAAGCAGTACATGAAAAAGCAGAATTAAAGCAACTGAGTATATATTTAAAAATGCAAAAGCTCACTTTTTCAGAAAAATATTAAAATATTAAATCTAACAAATATCTAGGTAGAGTGATGAAGAAAAATACAGAAAACGCACAAAAAACCAATTACCTGGAATGCGAAGGTTACAAAACGTCAGCAGTTGTAGATTTTAAATAAGCAATGACTTTGAGTTCAACCATGATGGGGTATATTGAAAAGAATCTCTCAGAAAAAAAGAAAAAGAAAACTGTTATAAAGCTATGTACAAAATGTTAAGCACTATTAACGTCTTCCAATTCTACCAGTTATGGAGTTATTGGTCTTGGACTAACTCTCCTGAAAAGAAAACAAAACAAAACAAAACAAAACAAAAAACTAAAAACCTGGATAAAATAGCCTACTGTGGGCACTGGCAATGCAACCAAGCAGGTAGGACATGGGTGCTACATTCTCTTTGTCAGAACACAAAGCATTCATACATTCTTCTCACCCTCACTCTCACCTTTTAATCTTAGATCTACTATTAAATGTATTCAACATTACTATCAATCCTTTGGTCAAAATTTCTTTACTCACATCTTGCTTGATGCACTTGGATAGACTGTTCAAGAAAGTGTGAGTAGCGAATTCCTCAAACTCTTGCATATTTAAAATTACATTTTTGAACTTTGATACTTGAAGTGTAGCTTGGGTAACGGGTGGGCCTTAAGCCAATTTTGGCATACAAGGGGTTGAGTTTATTAGGCATCATCAACTCTGAAAATCGTGGGGATTCAGGCTTAATTTGAACACTATTCTAAATACTTGAAAGATATTACATAATTCCTTAATAAACTCCTGTGTCTATCAATGGTTCACATTTGCTCAGTATCCATGATTAAACATCTATAAAATCAAGGCACTCTTATTTAGTGGAGACTTGCTGGCTATTCTATGAGAGGAGGTATTGTTATTGTAATCTCATCCTCTCATAAAAGTGTATCATATTACTCATAACCAGCCCTTCATATTCTATTCCTATTGTGGTATTTTAAAATAAGATATCTTTGAAACACTTCAATTCAAAGAGGGAATCTGAATAGTTTTTAAAATGTCAATGAAATTCCATTTCTTCATGCTTGAACAAATAAAAATTGACTAAAGTGCTTCTCTTCAAACTTTCTGGAACATTTTTTATCTAAATTCTAAGAACAATCACAATAGGTTTTAACCACAAATGTGAGAATGTTCTAAATGTTAGGGTGGAAAAATTTTTTAAATAATTTTATAGTATTTTTTTCATCATAGTGACAGTGTGCTAAATTTTTTTAAGTCAAATATTACTGTGGACATTTAAGTCAAGATTCTAAGAAGCTGTTCTAAAGTCCAAAATTTAGTTTCATATACAGTGATGTTATATACATATTTGCATATAAAATTAATATATGTGAGCCATGTTTCAAATAGTTGAGAGATTAGTATATCAAAGATTCTTGATTATATAAAATGCCAATTACTTATAGGCACACATGCCTTACATAATTACAAAGGCAGTTGTGGTTGATTCTACTCTTGCTACTGGCATTTATATGGACATCATATTATGGTCTGAAGAATATTTAGGCAAATTTATCCCTCATATGATCAGAAGAACAATGCAAGATAGTTTATATCTGAAAGAAAAAAATCTTTATATGGTTCTGAAAGCCTAAATCATTAACAACTTGGATAATAATTAGCATAAAAATACACAAACATGCCCTCTTCCTAGCATTAAGTACACAGTGATAAGAGAATCAAAGCACTTGGCTATGTGCATGTTTATATTTCAAGATGCAGAGCACTCCATTCCTCTTCTCTGCCCTTTCTAGATGGCACAATTCCTCATGAATCTAGGTGCAGTCATAGGGTGGATTAGAGTGACCTGCCATTTGTTTGCAACTGATCTCTATTTTGGAAGTAATTAAAGTAAAAATATATTTTTAAAAGATAATTTCAAATTTCAGTGCAAACTAGCATGGTTTCACCCCTTTTCTTTGTAACATTTTTTCTAAGGTTGGAAAAGTAAGGTAGGCTTTAGTACGATTTTTAATAATGAGTTTTCAAAGTGAGACGCAAAATGGTGGCGCCAACACATTTCAGGTCTGCTACATTTTGAATACACTTATTGGAGAAAAGAACTTCTCCTCATTTTTCTCTTACAGGAAAGGAAATAACATGTACAGTTGACCCTTAAGCAACATGGAGGTTGGGGTGCTGGCCCCACTGCACAGTAGAAAATTCACTATAACTTTGACACCCCCAAAACTTAACTACTAATAGCCTACTGTAAGCCTTACAAATAACACAAACACTCAATTAACCCATATTTAATATGTTATATGTCTTATATACTGTATTCTTAACAAACATGCCAGAGAAAAGAAAAAGAAAATCAGAAGGAAAATATATTTACTAGTTATTAAATGGAAGTAGATGATAAAACAGGTCTTCATCCTCATCCTTTTCATGGGCAGGGTGTGGAGAAGGATGTAGAATTGTTGGTTTTGCTAAGTGGACCTGCACAGTTCAAACCCCTGTGGTGCAAAGGCCATTTGTATAGCCATTGAATAGCAATTTGTTTTTAGAAATTAACCTCACTAAAATACTCTTAGAAGGATGCCAAGAAAAAAATGAATAAGTATTTTTGGTTCATCTATTTCATCATTTCATTTCATTTCCTCATTTCATCATTTCATTTCATTTCATCTTTTCATTTCATCATTTCATTTCATCTCATCATTTCATCTCATCACTTCATTTCATCATTCCGTTACATCATTTCATCTCAACATTTCATTTCATCATTTCACTTCATCTCATCATTTCACTTCCTCTCATCATTTCATTTCATCTTTTCATCTCGTCATTTCCTTTCATCAATTCATCATTTCATTTCATTTATTTCATCATTTCATCATCTCGTTTCATCATTTCATTTGACTTCATTTCATCATTTTATATCATTTCATCATTTCATCTTTTCATTTAATCATTTCATCATTTCACCTCATCATTTCATCTCATCGTTTGCATTTCATCATTTCATCATTTCATTTCATCATTTCACTTCATCTCATCTTTTCATTATTTCATCTCATGATTTCATTTCATCTCATGATTTCATTTCATCTCATTTCATTTCATCTTTTAATCTCATCATTCATTTCATCATTTCATTTCATTTCATCTTTTATCTCGTCATTTCATTTGATCATTTCATTTCATCTCCATCATTTCATCATTTCATTTCATTTCATTATTTCATCATTTAATCATTTCACTTCATTTCATCATTTGATTTCATTTCATCATTTCATATCATTTTTTCATTTTATCATTTGAACTTTTCATTTCATTTTATCATTTCATCATTTCATTTCATCATTTTACTTCATCATTTCATTTCATCATTTCATTTCATTTCCTCATTTCATTTCACCATTTCATCATTTCATCATTTCATTTCATCATTCCATTTCATCATTTCATTTCATCTCATCATTTCATCCTTTCATTTCCTTATTTCATTTCACTTCATCTCATCATTTCATTTCATCATTTCACTTCATCTCATCATTTCATCATTTCATCTCATGATTTCATTTCATCTCATCATTTCACCTCATGACTTCATTTCATCTCATCAATTCAACTTTTCATCTCCTCATTTCATTATTTCATTTCATTTCATCTTTTCATCTCGTCATTCATTTCATTTCATCAATTCATCATTTCATTTCCTCATTTCATCATTTCATCATTTCATTATTTCACTTCATCATTTCACATCATTTCTTCATTTTACCATTTCATTTCATCATTTCACTTCATTTCATCATTTCATTTCATTTCACCATTTCATCATTTCATTTCTTCATTTCATCAGTCGTTTCATCATTTCATCATTTCATTTCATCATTTCATTTCATTTCGTCTTTTCATAATTTCATTACATTTCAGTGATACATGTATTTAAGTGCTAATGCGATGCCCAGGAGACACCCTATTTCCCTTTGTAAAACACCTCCTTCAACAAAAAGCAACCTCTCATGGCTGGCTAAGTCTACAGGGATACCAGCCTCTCTTCAACCACCCAATTTCATTTAGAACCTCAAACAGCACCTCAGTTTCATAAAAACCTAAAACATAAACACAACACTTGGTTGTAAGTGAGGCAACAGTTTCTTGTCTCTTTCTCTGCTCAAGGCTTAAGGCCATGTCTCCCCAAATACTTTCAGTGGAAGAAAAGATCCCCTGAACAAATAAATTTGAGAACTGTTGTTGCAGTCTTCTCAGAACCTTCAAAACACCAATCCTCATCCGCAGGGATCTTCAGGAGGGAGATGGCTGATGCAGCACAACTTTCTTTCACAGGAGCATCTTGCAGAATACAGTATGAGATACAGAAAGGCTGCACTGAGCCTTTTTAAGGGCCCAGGCCTTGGTGGGGGTGGGGTAGGAGCTCTCCAGATAGCATCTAATGAGTGGAAACATTCAGGTTGCTTTTTTTTATCCTTACTGGCAAAACTGTGTGTGCACCATGAATGAAGCTCGTCTCCCTTATACATATCAAAACTAAACCCTAATTATTTGGCTAAATTGGGACTGAACACCTCCAGGAGCCACGTGGAAGAAAGCCCCACCACACATTAAAGTAGCTTACCTCATCATATTTGAGGAAAGCAAAACGCTTATGACCAGTATGCTGCTAATACAAGTCTACAGATAATGCTGTAGGAAAAATTATTTTTCCCAATCATAGCTGGCATAGTCCGCATTTTGCATTACGCTTCCCCCCTTTTCTTAAATTTGAAACACAGGTCTTTTCCTCTTTTTTTTTTTAAATTTTAATTTAATTATACAAGACAGAGTCTCAATATGTTGCCCAGGCTGGTCTTGAACTCCTGAGCTCAAGCGATACATCCGTCTCTGCCTCCCAGAGTGCTGAGATTACAGGCCTGAGACACTGTGCCCGGCCTTAAACACAAATCTTAATTCATTCTTACAATTATCCTGAGGTTAGAAAAATGAAAGGGGAAGAAACATGGCAAGCAGGTAGGCTGACTTCGGCTTCATTATTTGAAGGACAGTTTGCTCGGTTAAAACACACTACTGCCCACAAAGGCCAAGAAAACAGAAAAATACAGACTTACATAAATAGGTTTTATATGTGACAGCAGTTTGAATGGAGAGTTTTTCAATGCAGATGACAAACAGCTGTGCTTGGGAATAAATGACAACGAATTTTTTTATCTCAATAGCTGTCCTGAGAGCATGTCTCTACATCTCTACCTGCATTCTGGAATCAGGGAGAAAGCCAAAACGGATGACAAGACACTAGATCAGCCGTGTCCAACCCTTTGACTAAAAGGACTTTTCCGCCTATCTGTGGTGGTGGGTATCATGAAAATTATGCATAAACCTTTTTTTTAAGCTCATCAGCTGTTGTTAGCATTAGGGAACTTTTTGTGTGGCCCAGGAGCATTCTTCTTCCAATGTGGCCCTGAGAAGCCAAAAGACTGGACACCTGTGCACTAGATCAAAAGGCTACTCCTTCTGGAAGCAATTGTAAAGAATTTCTGACATTATCTTGACATGAAAACCAATGGATAGTGGGACAGAATGCAAAATCTTCAAGAATATTTTTGTTTTTTTTGTTTTTTTTGTTTTTTTTTTGAGTCAAGTTCTTGCTCAGTGGCCCAGGCTGGAGTACACTGGTGAGATCACAGCTCAGTGCAGGCTCAAGTGCTCCGCCCACCTCAGCCACAGTCGTAGCTGGGACTACAGATGCGCACAACCACCTCTGGATAATATTTTATTTTTCATAGAGACGTGGTCTCATTATGTTGTCCAGGTTGGTCTCAAACTCCTTGACTCAAGGGATCCAGGACAGGGTAACAGGTGTGAGCCACCACACCTGGCCATGTGCATGAACTTTTAAGACAAACACAAGGCCCCATGAAAGTTAAGGTTTTCTCAACTAATTTCCAGGGGATCTTTTGGTGCAAGGATGAGAAGCCCTTAAAAGTACACAGACAACTCCAAAGATTCAAGAGAGTTCATTCAGGCTGAGCCAGCCCACTGGGCAGACTGACCTTCAAAAAAGGCCCACCCATGACATACACCAGATGGCTCTCCAAGAATCTCTTCAGTCCTCAGGGTCCCTAAGGTACTGGACAGAGCTAGGAAAGCAAACCCATCTGCTTCTTCCTGCAGGAAACCCCTTGAGGTTAAGACCCCCACAATCAGACGAGGATGGAGTGGCTCAGCCTCAGTCAACAGGCCAGACTCAAAGTCGTATAATGTCTTAACCAAGGGTGCGGGCCTCCAGGTCTGACTCCCAACTCAGTTCTCCTTTAATAACCACACTTTGTTAATTCTCCTTAACAGCGGTTCCTGGCAAGTCAGTTCTCACTCAGGCCTTCAGTTTCCTCACCTACAAGATGAGAGGGCTGGACCAGATGGAAATTCTGGGGGTAAGGGGATGTCCACGCGCAGCCAAACCCCTCCACAGGACCCTGGAGCCTCCATCCCAGTTCCCACCATGCACCCGCCCCACAAATCCTGCCCAAGGTGAGGGCTGGTCCCGGGTCCTCCAGCTGCCGCATCAGCGAGTGCAGGAGGGAGGGAAAGTCTCCAAGGGTGTGACGCGGGCTCAAGGATGCAACTCGGCCAGGAGTGAACTGGGGCCCTGAGGGTGGTGTCTGGGCCGCTCCTAGAGCCCAGCCCAGGTCCCCAAACCCCTTATCTCCAGGGTCTGTATCTCCTGCTGGGTGAGGTCGTTGGACACAGTGCACTTGGTGCACAGCCTGTGCAGGCTGCCAATGGAGATGCCGATGAGCTTTTGGAGCTGCCCCCACTGCTGCAGCGCCCAGCTGGCCGCGGCCCCTGCGCCACCCTCCGAGGCCTTCGTATCACCCCCGCCACTGCCCTACTTCTTCTCTCCCATCGCTCCGCGCACAGCGCCGCTCTATGCAGGCCTCAGCGGCCAAGGTAGGGAGCCCGGGGCTCGGGCGCCTAGGCAAGGAAGCCCCGAGCCGGGAGAGCTGGACCAGGAGTGCCCCTCAGCTCTACCATTGCCAGGACGCCAGTAGAGCTGGCAGCCGAGTCTGCCCTTCCCGCCCTCAGAGCCGCGGCGGCTGGGGCAAAAAGCCGCGGTGGAATAAAGCCCCGTCAGTGGGCACAAAAAGCAGTGGCGGTGGGGGCAAAAAGCCGGGCCGGCGGAGGCAAAAAGCCAGCCGGCGGGGGCAAAAAGCCGCATCGGCGGGGGCAAAAAGCCGGCCGGCGGGGGCAAAAAGCCGCCAAGGCGTGGGAAAAAAGATGCAAAAAGCCGCGGCGGCGGGGGCAAAGAGCCGCAAAAAGCTGCAGCAGCGAGGGCAAAAAGCCGCGATGGCAAAAAGCCGTAGCGGCGAGGGCAAAAAGCCGCAAAAAGCAGCGGCAGCGGGGGCAAAAAGACGCAAAAAGCCGGGCCAGCGGGGGAAAAAGCCGCAAAAAGCCGCGGCGGCGGGGAAGAAGCCGCGGCGGCGGGGGCAAAAAGCAACGGTGGCAAAAAGCCGCGGCGGCAAAATCCGTGGCGGCGGGGGCAAAAAGCCGCGGCGGCGGGGGAAAAAAGATGCAAAAACTGTGGCGGCGGGGGCAAAAAGCCTCAAAAAGCCGCGGCAGCGAGAGCAAAAAGCCGTGGCTTAGGGGACAAAAAGCCGCGATATCAAAAAGCAGCAAAGGCTGGGGCAAAAAGCCGCGGCGGCAAAAAGCCACGGTGGCAAAAAGCCACAGCAGCGGGGGGCAAAAAGATGCAAAAAGCCCCGGCAGCGGGGGAAAAATCAGCGGGAGCAGGGGCAAAAAACCACAAAAAGCCGCGGCAGAGGGGGGAAAAAGCCGCGGAGGCGGCGGCAAAAAGCCGCGGAGTCGCGGGGGAAAAGCCGCGGAGGCGGCGGCAAAAAGCCGCGGAGTCGCGGGCAAAAAGCCGCGGCGGCGGAAGCAAAAAGCCGCGGCAGCGGGGGCAAAATAGTGGAAATGGGGTAGAAGGCCCGCACAGCTTGGCATTGCTGTAGTGTGATGTGATAGGAAAAGTGCAGCCAAAGACAAAAAAAAGATGTAAGTAGGCTTGACTCAGTGCAGCTAAGAACCCAGATGTTATCTGGAGGGTATTAACTAATAAGCAGTTTAAATCAGAATGGTGCGTTCTGATTTGTTTTTTGTATGTTCACATTTGGCAGGCATAGATACTGTTTGAAGAGAGGAAAGTCAGTAGATAGAGGTAACAAACTTAAATATGTGCCAAGTCTAGAAACAAGAGACTAGGGGGATAAGGACCTTTCAAAATAAAATGCAAGATTTGAAAACTGATTGGCTGGGGGATGACGAAAAGGCAGGTCTTTAAGATCAATCCCTGTTTTGCTTTA
Source organism: Homo sapiens (assembly GCF_000001405.40). Classification (NCBI taxonomy): domain Eukaryota; kingdom Metazoa; phylum Chordata; class Mammalia; order Primates; family Hominidae; genus Homo; species Homo sapiens. The sequence continues at coordinate 34,049,709 of NC_000016.10, read as the reverse complement.
AGTTGTCAGGTGGTGGTTTTATCACATACTGTAGAATATGTCATTTCAGTTTTGAACATCTTGAGTTAAATTGTCCTAACATATCTTATGAATTTGATTTTCTTCCCTGGGAAGCTAATATTTCAAAAACTTAAAGAGTATAGATTTCCAACTTGTATCCAATTTATAAAATTATCCCTAGGCTGCTGGTTTCAGGAGGAGGCTCATGAATATTCTATTTGCAGAGAATGTATCAGGAGTTAACAACAGCTTCAATATTTGTGGATGACCAGTTAACTAAGCCACCTCTTAGTGTCTTCAGATGGGAAATCTTAACTGAAGATATTCAATAATGAACCAACAGTGACTAAAAAATTCAATATTTAAGTATATTTCATTGTAATTAATTTGAATTTAAGTAGCCATGTACAGCTAGTATTTACTACATTAAACAATGCAAATAAGAGGAAAAAATTAATAACCATCTCTAATACCACATGCCAAAATCCTCATCAATTTATTCTAGCTAAAGGAGTTTATCAGAAGCAGCAATTGAAAGCACCAACTAAACCAGCTGGGGTCAATTCACTGTCATTCTCTCAGAACCATCTCTTCTCTGAACAAAAGAAGTAGAAGAGTTAATTGTGAATCTGCATTTTCCTTGCCTATTTTAAGGTTTTGATGTTGACACTAATTTGTGAAATCCCTCCTGTGGTGTGATATTTCATTTTCCTTGCTTTTTGTTAGTACAAGACTGCTTCAGCTCTTAATTTAAAATTATGTTTCTCCCTCCTAGGTTGAGTGAACTTAGAATGCATTCTCTGAGATATCCAAGTTTTTGTTAATATGAATTTGGGGGAAAAAGCATACTTAATTCGCTAAGACTTCTTATTCTAGGCTTGACCCTGTGTTCGACATCTTTTGAATTCATAGTTGCATAGGCTGCTCTCTGACACTGGTTAGTGATCTGGAAGCTATATTAACGTTAGGGGAGGTGGTGTATGAGCATTAGAGGTATCCTTGCAAGGAAAGACTTGTCTTATCTCAATACATCTTTTTTTTTTGCACACAAGATAGTCAATGTTTGAGTCTTCTAAAATCTTCCTATTTCCAAGTTGCAGAGTACCATTGATTCCTAAACAAAGATCTAATTTTTGATGCAGAGACGTGGCAAGGTAGTGAATCACCTTTATAATTTAACAATCTTCAAGATAAAATTATCTCTCTGACATTTAGATTTTGCCCAGTTATTAAGATATTTGGCTGTTTCGTTAAGAATGGAAGACTCTAGTCTCTTGAGCAGAGACTATAAAGGCCTCAGATGATCATTTTTAATTTTATGCTCTTTTCTTTAACATCTTCAACACAGTTGGAAGCAGCCAATATTCCCCAGAGTTGTTGTGTTTTTGAAAACAAATGCATGGTTCAGTGGTAGAAAACTGGGCTGATCCAAGCTGTTTTCAGTAAACACTTCATTTTGGGTGACCTAATTCATATTAAATAATCTCTAGATCCTGTCTTCAAAACTAACTAGCTAAGATAACCTACCCTAGATTTTCCCCTTTTAGGGTCTATGCAGTCACTTTTGTGAAAATGATTGCAAAGAAAAAATAGAGATGTAGATGGGGAAAATGTTTTGACTAATTTAAGCATAGTGGTATTTCATATGAGAATTTATGTTACACACATTTGAAAATTACAATGGAGTCTCCTGGCTGACCTTTTAAAAAAAATAGCATTTAGGCTAAAAAGGGAAGTGCTACCTCTCCTAAAATCAGAAAGATGTTACAGTAATTCTCCATTCTCTAGAATTATCAGGAAACACATTTGTGATGATTTACTTTTGCTCTTGGGAGTGTGAGCCTGTGTAGTCGTGGAACCATCAATTAGAACGATGGCTTTCTGATCCCAAAGTCATTCGTTCTGAAAACAATATTTTTCATAAATTTGAAAGTGAGAAGTTTTGATCTTGCCATTCCCAAGTAACTCTCTTAATAAGAGGCATCAGCATGCTTCAGTGACAGCTGTCACCTTCCAGTGCTGAGAGTCATCTTTGAGTTCTCCATTTCACTCCCTACCCTCCAATTTAGCTGCAGTTCTCTTGGCCAGTCCTACGAAATACATCCACGGCCTAACGACTTCTCACCACTAATACCACTCATACTCACAACATTTTCACCTAAGTCACTACCTTTTTTCTCTGGATTACAATAGCCTCCCAATTTATTTGCTCACATAACCTATTTATTCTACAGAGTGCACCAGATACACCCCTTTGAAATGCAAACACAATCATGTTATTCTCTGGTGAAATTATCTCATATATTCCTATCGCATTTAAAATTAATTCAGAATAATCCCATGATTATCAAAACCCTACATGCTCTTCCACAACATGGTTTACTTCCAAGATATCTCTTCAACTTTTTTTTCACTGTACTGGATTGGTGACTAATAGTCATATTTTTGTTTTTGCTCAAAAAATCTTGACTTGTAAATTTTTCAGTTTCTCCTTTATCCACAGGTAACTCTTTCCTCATAAGACGAATTGCTTGCTTCCTTGAGTTCTGCTCTCAAAGATACCCTTCATTTTCTACCTAATATTAATAACTTTAATCACTCATTATTCCATTACTATGCTCTATAGTGTATACAATTTCTGTTCTTTACCATGTTATTAAATTATTTATTGGTTCCAGTAATGTATTCCATAAATATGGTACACATAAAAATTATGTTATTTTTATTGCTGTATGCTCAGCTGCCCAATAACAGTTTGAGGATTAACATATTTGTTAAATGCACAAATACATTCTTTCACAAATATTAGTTTAATAATTTTATATTAAACTCCCTCTATACTTACAATATGAATTAGATAATTCAGAATAAACATTCCATTGGAAAAAACTAAACAATTTGTTATAAAACATCCTTAAAAGCATCAGAAAGTTAATACAGCGATGAAGAATTACAGCACCAAATTTAGAATGGTATGGAAGCCTGTTTGTGAGGCTTATGTTTGGGTTATCTCTTTACTTAGAGTGATTATAAATCTCAAAAGAGAACTAAAGGGAGAAATAACAATATCAATTCACATGGCAAGGGTATTTAAACATCTCTTAGTAATTGAGAAAATTAAAAGAAAAGAAAAAAGAGAAAGGGAGAAAGAGAAACAGAGCGAAAGGGATAATGAAGGAGAGAAAGAAGAAGAGAAAGGAAGAGGAAGAAAAGTAAAAAGGAAGAGGAGGGGGAGGGAGGAAGAAAGAAAGGTGAAAAGAAAGAATGGTAAAGTTTTTAACAACAAAATTTATCCTTCTAGAATATGAATGTTGGTCTATTTGATGATGTCCCACAGATTCCTTAGTCTCTGCTCATTTTTTATTTTTTATTCTTTCTGTTTCTCACAGTCAGTATTTTCCATTTTCTTATCTTCAAGCTCATGACTTCTGTGTGTGCAAATATACTCTTAAATCCCTCTGGTGATTTTTAAATTTTTATCATTGTAGTTTTCCACTCCAGAATTTCTGTTATCTCTTTGTTGATATTCTTACTTTTTAATATTTTTTCTGATTCCTTGATTTATTTGTTTATGTTTTCCTTTTGACATTTGAGTATAATTAAGAGAGGTGTCTTAAAGTCTTCATCTAGTAAGTTTGATGTCTGGGTTTCCTTAGGGATATTTTCTGTCAATTTATTTTGTTCCTTTGAATGAGCCACACTTTCCCATTCTTTGTATGCCTTGTACCTTTTTTTGAAAACTGGACATTATAATAATTATAATTACTATGTGGTTGCTCTGTAAATCAGACTCCACCCCCTACAAACACACTAATGTTTTGTGGTTTTAAATTTTATTTACTTATTATATTGTTAAGGTTTTTATTTTTAGTGAAATTTTCCAAAGTGATTTACAAAACTGTTTGCTTTATAAGGTGTGGTCACTGAAGTCTTTTTGTTTCCTTAACAAACGTTAAGCTAATGTTTTGACAGTGATTTTCTTGTATGTCAGGAACTAAGCAAACAGGCAAATACAAGAAAAACAAAAAGAAAAACAAATAATCCTTATCCAGCAAAATATTTCTCTAGGCCATGCAGACTGGCTTTGTGCTGGGTTCTTTAAAGCTGGCACAAAGTGTGTGTTCACTCTTGCACTGAGTGAAGTTCAAGTTCACTCTTGCACTGAGTGAAGTTCAAGTTCACTCTTGCACAGAGCTTGCTCTGAGGGGAGGGATCAGCCAAGGTAAAAGTGTAGGGTCTTCTTATGACATTTGTCAGCAAGCGGCTTAACCTATGCATACATGTGACTTTCTAGACTCTCCCATGTATGTGAATGACTTTGAATGTCTTAGTTTTTCAAATACTCTTCTCCAACTTTTCTTCCTGTGCTGAAGGTGATCTACTATATGTGTAAACTCTAATTTTTGCCCTAAGCATCTGTGGTTTGTTAGGTCTCCTTGCAGAGTTTCTTAATAATGTCCATTCCTTATCTGTTCTGTATTCTAGCAACACAGAAAAAGAAAAGCCTTTCATTAGTCCTTTAGGTATCCCCCAGACCAGTCAGAACAGACACATAATAATTTTTGGGTAAGATCTTCTCTTGTTCCTTTGGACAATGGACCAGGGTTCCTCACTGGGAACGTGGGCTTCTGACACTTCAAAACTGCCAATTTGCTGGGGCAAAGGCAAGTTAAAAATGTCATAAAGTTTTCCAGTTGTCTTTTTCTCGAATCTGCTTTCGCTTGGCTGTTATAATCTTTTGACCATTTTCCAGAGTTTTGGCAAAGTTTATTCGGACAGTTTCTCTTAGTTGTGTGATGTTTATGTGGGGAAATGAAAGATTGCAGCTGTCCCCATTGCCATTTTGCTGATGCTCCTCTTTTGCCAATTTTTGCTTCATGTTATTATGCTTTGTTATTAGTTCATGTATTAGTTTTCTAGGGCTGCCATAACCAAGTAACACAAACTGGGTGCCTTGAACAACATAAATTTATAGTCTTATAGTCCTGGAAGCTAAAAGTCTGAGATTGAGGTGTCAGCAGGGATGGTCCCTTCAAGGGCTATGAGAGAAAGTCTGTTCTATGCCTTGTTTCTAGCTTCTGGTGGTTTAGTGGCAGTCTTTGGCATTCCTTGGCTAATCTCTGCCCTCATAATCACATTGTACTCTCCCTGTGTGTATGTCTCCCTCTACTAAAATTTCTTCTTTTTATAAGGACATCAGTCATATTGAATTCAGGCTTATCTGATTTTATCTTAACTTGATCACCTGCAAAGAACCTGTTTCCTAATGAGGTCATATTCAGTGGTTAGGATTTCAGCATCTATATAGAGGAAACAATTTAGCTCATACCAGTGCATACATGATTGTAATAGCTATGTCTTCCTAAAGCGTTGACCCCCGTATTACTACAATATAAATTTTTAAAATCCTATTCACATTTTTAACAGTCTATATTGTGTGTTATGAGTATAATCAGTTCAGTGTTCTTATGATTGCTCTTTGCATGATATTTTTTGTCATCTTTTTACTTTCAATCCATTAGTGTCCTTGCATCTCAGCATATATTGGGATCACTTGTTTTAATCCAGTCTGACAATCTCTGCCTCTTGATTGGATTTTAATCTGCTCACATTTAAGATTATAATTGGAAAAAAAGATTATAATTGGTATAATTCTATTTATGTCTGCCATTTTACCGTTTGTTTTGTATATATCTCAAATATTTTTCTTTATTGTTTTATTTTGCAATGAATGAATATTTTCTAAAATAGGGAACTTTAGATTACTAATGAATTATTTTACTATATATTTTTGAGGATTTTTGTTGTTGTTGTAAGTTTACCATATAGGTATATGGAAAATTAATTATTCAAATCATCTTCCAACTTATACTAGAGAAATTTTAGTAATACAGAGAAATATCACTCTTATACAAATCTCTTTTATTTCCTCCATTTTAAAGTATGATCACTTTACACATTACATCTATTAAAGTTACAAAGCCAACAATACATTTTAGTAATTATTACTTTACCATCTAGAGTGATTACCTTATCACAATACATTTTTCTTCCAACTACCTCCTTTTTGATGTTACTGGAAAATATGTTATAGACATATTACATTCCTACATGTCAAATACTCAGAAATACATTATGCACATATTATCATTATTATTATTATTGAGACTGAGTCTCCCTTTGTCTCCCAGGCTGGAGTGCAGTGGCACAATCTCCGCTCACTGCAAGCTCCATCTCCCAGCTTCATGCCATTCTTCTGCTTCAGCCTCCCGAGTAGCTGGGACTACAGGCGCCTGCCATCACGCCCGGCTAATTTTTTGTATTTTTAGTAGAGACGGGGTTTCACTGTGTTAGCCAGGATGGTCTCGATCTCCTGGCCTCGTAATACACCCGCCTCGGCCTCCCAAAGTGCTGAGATTACAGGCTTGAGCCATCATGCCCGGCCATTATACACATTTATTTTATAAACAATTTATGATAAAGAGAAAATATGTATTTCTACTGTCTTTTATCACGTTAATATTATCTATACCAGTGCTTTTTAAAAAATGTGTATTCAAATGACTGTCTTGTTTAACTTGCTTTTAGCCTTAGGAATTTATTTTGATGTTTTTTTTTTTTTTTTTTTTTTTTTTTTTTTTTTTTTTTGTATGGTAGGTCTGCCAGCAACAATTTCAGTTAATATTTCTGTTTATCTGGGTAAATCTTTGTGTTATCTTCATTTTTGAAAACTAATAGCTGGATAAGGAATTGGCAGCTGACAGTTTTTTTTCCTTTGCATATTTTGAATATATTATTCTACTACCTCTTGCCTTCCATTGTTTCTGTTAAGTCAGCTGTTAATCTTACAAAACGTAGGTGCTCAAAAAATAAACATGTGCATGAATATTTACAGCAGTAATACTCATACAGTCAAAAAGTGGAAACAATCCATATGCTTGTTGACTCACAAATGGACACCCAAGTTTCAGCTGTAACAAAGAATGAAGTACGTATACATGGTATAATATGGGTGAAATTTGAAAGCATTATGTTAAGTGCACAAAAGGACAAATATTACTTGACTTTATTCACATGAAACATCAGGAATTAACAAATCAATTGGGGTATAAATCAGATCAGTCGTCATTAGGGCTCAGAGAAGCAGAATAGAGTGTAAAAACTTTATGCATAATGGGTTTTTAGAACAGATATCATGAAATTGTCCTGGAACGTTGTGAATATACTAAAAGCAACAGCGTTGTATGCTTTAAAATGGTTATTAATTTTATACTATGTGATTTTTACCTTAAAAAACA